>NC_000004.12:78921381-79072896 GCF_000001405.40 Homo sapiens
CTCATGGTGCTTCTATGGTCATATAATGTAAATATTCTCTAACCTCTCTTTTTTCTTACCAATCAGTACAGTACATAGATTTTAAAGTGTATATCAATAAGATTCTTAGCCTTTTTTGTACCATGGACGCCTCTGGCAGTCTAGTGAAGCCTACAGACCCATTTTTTTAAAAAACAAAACACAGAGGATTACAACAAATATTGATTATCTAATACAACTATCAGAGATCCACTCAATTCTATCCATGGACACCTTGGGGACCCTTGGACCCATCAAATGCCACTGTGTTGTGTATACATTTTTAAACATTCAACCTGAGCTGAATGAAAGCTTTTAGTTTAAAATTTATTTTATTTCCCAGTGGCCAGGTCATACATGAGGACTTGCCAGAGATAGTTTCTAAGGCATTTATATATGAACATTTGAGACTATCACTTTTCACTGGAAAGACTTAATTTTTTAGTTTCCATATCTCCACTGCTCTCATGTACCCAAACTCAATATGCTCTGCTACATAGGGCACATTTTATGTCAAGTGTGTCTTGGGGAAGGTTAAGTTACAATAAGTTTGATTGTTTATATATGTCCTATATTAAACAATTGGTAACTCCTGATCTGAATATTTTAAGGCCTAAAACCCACTATGGTCATAATCACATAGAGAATTTTCATGGTTTAGTGTTCTACTTGTCTTGCTATAAAGAAAATACAGAATTTTAAAAAGAATTATTAATAAAGTGATACAAAAATATATTTTACCAGAATTGTTTTCTGTAATTCTGGCCCTGCCTGGAAGATGGGTGGTCTTCAATTCAGTGGCATGTCCTAGATCTGTTCCCAAATCCTCATGTTTACAACGCAGGTTTTCCCTTGTATTTCCATTCTTATTTAAAGCTCAGTGGTGAAAAACCAAGTACACAAAGGAATGCCTGAGGATCTGTGGGATGGATTGTTTAGGCCAGGGTTTCTCACCCTTTCTTCTTTCCCAACACACGTGACGAGTGGTACAATCCCTTCTCTGATTCACCGTGGAAGTGATTCTTAACCCAGGAAGAAGAGGGGATAAATTTGCAGTTTAGATTTAAACTGCTCCCTGACTCATAGCTCTCCAAACTGAAAAAAAACATCAGTTTTATGTACTCTAAATGTTATTTCTGACCCATGCCAAAACTTACCTGGATTTGCATCACTTTGTCTCTTACTAAACCACATATTTCACTTATAAGACCAGGGCTGGGGGACATAGTAATAATTGCTGTCATTTATTCAGTCCCTACTAATTGCTAGAAACTTGGTTACATGATATGTGCATTTTCTCATCTAACCCTCATTAAACTGTGTTACATGCATTTTCTCATCTAATCCTTACCCTAACCCTGGGGGGAAAAAAAAGTATTTCCATGTTTTAGATAGGAAAACTGGAGCTGAGAGCACTTAAGTAACTTACTTAGCCCACGTAACTAGAAAGTGGTTGATGTGGGTCTTGAACCCAAGCAGTCTGACTCCAGAGCTAAAGTTCTCAAACAAGCAAATACAGGTTTTGGAGACTGTTGTTCACTCCACCCAGTGTCCTCTTAGTTATTTTCCATCTGAAAATATTTTCTTTGGAATGAAGAACAAAAAAATCTATTGGCTTGTGTATCTTGGAAACACAAAGACTCTTAACTTTCACTATTTTCTTCCTAGTGCTGGGTGCCAGGAAGCCTAAAGCCAGCTTTGTCACCATTATCTATTTTATAGACCCTTTTGATGTACATATTGTGAAGTGATCCTACATCTCACTTCTTTTCACTTTTTCTGGAAACATAAAGACTCTTAACTTTCACTATTTTCTTCCTAGTGCTGGGTGCCAGGAAGCCTAAAGCCAGCTTTGTCACCTTTATCTTTTTTATAGACCCCTTCGATGTACATATTGTGAAGTGATCCTACACCTCACTTCTTTTCACTATCTTTTTTTTTTATTATTATACTTTAAGTTCTAGGGTACATGTACACAACGTGCAGGTTTGTTACATATGTATACAAGTGACATGTTGGTGTGCTGCACCCATTAACTCGTCATTTACATTTTCTTACTGTCCT
Organism: Homo sapiens; assembly: GCF_000001405.40. Classification (NCBI taxonomy): domain Eukaryota; kingdom Metazoa; phylum Chordata; class Mammalia; order Primates; family Hominidae; genus Homo; species Homo sapiens. The sequence continues at coordinate 78,923,464 of NC_000004.12, forward strand.
TTGCTTATTTCTTGCTTTATATATCTCTGCATATATAAATTACTTTTAAAGAACCAGCTGGCATATAGAGAAGTAAATGGTAGTTGACGGTGTTCTACTTTTTAAAAGAAATAGTGCTTGGGAGTCAGAAGACTCAAAGTCTAATGTCAGCTTTGTCACTAGTTCATAACCATAAAACAGTGACAACACCACCTACTGGACTCAACTCACATGATCAGGATGAAAGGAAAAGTGAAAGCCCTTTGAAAGTTTTAGGTAACATTTGGAAAGAGAGGAATCATTTCCATAATCAATAATATTAAAAAATGAAACTAAGTTTTGATGCTCTGATGCATATACCTTGGGCATATATTTAGACTAACAATACAAAACTGCTATAAAAGAGATACCTACCTGGAAAGTACCGCTCTGGGACTTTGGAAATGTAGAATAGGAAAGCAAGAAGAGCAATCATATACATCACAATTACACGGGGTGCAAAGTCCTGAAAAGCAGAACATGTTTTTTTACAGATCTTCCTACTGTTACTGAACTCTAAATTTATTATGAATCTAATAGTGGGATTTAAGATTGTTAAATCTGAACTGTTTTGCAGACTGTCTCCAATAATAGAAACCTTGTCCTCACATGCAGGAAGCAGCCTGCAAGAATGGAGCACAGAGAATGCTCTAACGGTCAGGCTCCTAAAGGGGCTAGAGCTTTAACATGCTGAAGTTCCTAAGGGCATCCAACTCCATCTACAATGTAGGTATATGTGTAGAATGCATATGGAAATGGAGTTGGCAGGTAAATAAGCAAAGACACTGAAGACCAGGAACTTATGGCTGGAAAAGACCTAAGGGGTCTCCCCAGACAGAAATCTGTTCCAATATCCCAGATAAATGGTCCTCTTGAATACTACTATATGAAGCACTTTGTCTCACTGCTGACACAGTATTGAGAAGACTTTCCTGGCCCTGAGAAAATCCAGCAAGCTATCCTTATACATATTGTTCCTAATACTGGTTATAAACCTAATTTAGCAAGAACTCATTTAAGAAATAAGGACAGGCTTGGTGCATGGCTCATGCCTGTAATCCTACCACTTTGGGAGGCTTTGGCAGAAGGATCGCTTGATGACAGGAGTTCAAAACTAGCCTGAGCAACACAGTAAGACCCCTCTCTCTACAATTATTATTATTTTTTAATTAGCTGAAGACAGGAGTTCAAAACTAGCCTGGGTAACATAGTAAGACACCTCTCTCTACAGTTGTTTTTTTTTTTTTTAATTAGCTGGGCATGGTGGTGCACACCTATAGTCCTAACTACTTAGGAGGCTGAGGTGGGACGACTGCTTGAGCCGAGGAGTTTGAAGGCAATAGAGAGAGACTCTGTTTCAAAGAAATAAAATGTAAAGACAAATTTCTCCTTCCTCTTCAAATATGAGAATCATCATAGCCCTCCCTAACTCCTATATTTTTTAGATTAATCAAACTCAGATTTCTCAAACATTCTAGAACACAACTTGATCTTGCCTCCCAAGATTAACCCTTCCAGAACTTTTTAACTTTGTTAAAGTGCCTGTCTTTCCATCTTTTTAAAATAGAGCTTATCAAAGAATTTCTGTGAAAGTTTCCCTTTGCTTCCTCACCGGAATGATCTGTGATCACATTAGGATTCCATCTTTGAAAACTACTATCTAAGCCATCTTTCCATTTTAAGATTTCTGAATACAAAAAAAAAATCCCTTTTTCTTAATTTCTCTAAAATTCACTGACTTAATGGGTCTTATTCTTTTTGTCATTATAAGCTCAAAAGGAATGTGTTTATCAAATCTAGAAATTTTGGTCACTTCTGTATCAACAACCAATTATTCCAGCTGGAATTTATCTACAGTGGCAGTTCCCCATTTCATTTTCTTATTATAAAGGAATCAAAATTGTCAGAAAGATGTTTTCACAGATAGGAGGATTCCTGATGTCCCTCATCATTACTGTCTCACCTTTCTCCCAATATCCTAATTTATGAAGACATCATCACCCTTGTCCTCACATTGGCCAAGTAGCCAGATTATATCACTCAATTCACTCTGTCACAGAACTTCCTTTCTTTTCAGCTGTACACCCAACTGTTTTCTACTATGCTGCTGCCAACTTCATGCAAATAAATGTAGGCCCACTAATGGTCCCTCCTCTTCTAATAAAATCTGATTCTTTTGAATGAAACCCCCCTTTAAAGTCACACATTCTAGACAAAGGTACCATTGCAATGAGTATATGTGATTTCTGTCAGATTTCTTGGCCTATTTACTTGTATTAAAAATTCTCAAGTTTACTCTCTAGTGCATATGTACAGCATTTTTGTAATGATCTCTAAAAATGTAAGTCTTATTTCTAATCCTTTTCTCAAGAATCCTGAGTTCTCACTGAGACTCTTCCTAATGCACATCAACTGTTCCCCCATAATACCTGATTCTAACAAATAGCTCTTCTTTTATTTCTCAATATATTCTCCTTGGTGGATTGAACATGCTTCCCTGGCTCCAGCTACCAATACAATGATGATTTCCAAATCTTTATTGCCAGTCTCAAACTCTGGCTGAAATCCCAGATCCTATCTCTACCTTTACATCCAATGGGTACCCCACACTCATCGGGTCCAACAAAAAAAATCCTTCCCAACCTCCCTTCACCCCCTAAAAGATCAACTGCTCCTATTTCTATACTTGCGTTATCATTGGCATTATCACTGATCCCGCAGACAAAGCTAGAAACTTTGGAGTCCTCCTCCACAAATAAGGACTTGGGTATTTATATACTAAGGGTAATAGAGAATAATAATGTATTTTTTTTTACAGAAAGACAACTCAGAGAAAATCAGTATTCAGATTTTACCTCGACTTCTGCAAGGTATGCTTATTTATATGGCTGTGAAAATTACGGCATCAACATGCAATTACAAATATGTTCTCAAATGACAAACATCTACCCACTTGGCCTGATTATACTACTTTACCCAAAAGGAATAAAATTGAAAGGAAAAAAAAAAAGAGAAAAATATTAACTACACTCAACCTACCTGTACAATAGGAGCACCAATTCCTCCATTGAGCCAAACCCAGTGAAGAGTAGGAATCACTCCATATCCCGAAACAGAACAAAAGATGATAGAACGGAGCCTTTGCCATTGCTGCGTGAGGTAATTGGGATGAATCTGCGCAAAGAACACTGCCAGGATCATAGCAAGCACTGTGATCAAGTACACCTGACGCCAGTACTAGAATGAAAGGAAATCACATTTTAATTCTGTTATTAACAATAAAGGAACTGAAAAAGTAATTTTGGCTTTTACACTACAAATTCCAAAGTCTATTTACTTGGTATTTGCATTTCAAAATAGGATTATCTCCCTTCATTAAAAAATATGTTCCATACAACTTTTAGGTTTGTCAGAATGACAAACCAAATTCTAAAGTGAGCTGGTAAAATACTACATTTATTCATACAAAAGCATTTTCTGATTACCTATTATCTGCCAGGCACAGTTCAAGTCCTATAAAAGCAAAGATGACTATGACATGGACTCTCCCAGCAGTCAGCTCACAGACTATGGGAGGGGCAGAATGTGAACAAAAGATTATAATCTTATGGTAGATACCGTAATTGAGGAACAGAACATTGTAGAACCACAGAAGAGGGAACAATTAACTTTACTTGGGGTAGCTAAAAAATGCTTCACAGAGATGACATCTAAGATTTTGTGGGAAGACAGAGCTCTCAAGGAAAGAGAACAGCAAATGCAGCAGGAAGTTTTGAGAAAAAAGGCTAAAAAGGCATACTGTTAGGCTAAATGTTTTGAACTTTACCACACTGGCACTGGAGGAATAACAGAATTCTTTAAGAATAGGATGACATGGCTGTCTTTCAAACAGACTTATTAGAAAGACAACTCTGACATCAGTGCAGAAAATAGGTGACAGGAAACCAGCTAGAAAGATACTAGTTTAGTTTATTCAAAGAGAGAGTGGGGGCTTGGACTCCTGTTGAATAAAGTAGATGTGAGCACCAGATTTAGGAGGCATTTTTGAAATAAGCTTAAGTCTTAATGGCTGACTGGCTGTGTGAGAGGGCAGTAGAGGAAAGCCTGACTGTTTTTGGCCTGAAAGGCCACATAAATGGCTTCTATTAATGAAGCAAATGAACAAAGATGTTCCAGTTTTGCTGTGTGTGTGATGGGGGAAGAGAACAGGGGCATGAAAGAACACACACTTCGCTTAGGTTTGAAGGGCTTATGGGATATGCAGGTATTTAAATAAGCAGTTAGCTGGTCTTAAAGTCAAAAGTCACGTAAGACAAGAGTTCTTAATCTGGGCTCCAAGGACTTCTTTGGGGCTATTAACTTTCTGAAATCAAATGTCAGACTGTTTAGGGTGTGCGCAAAAGTGCATTCTACTGGATCTAGGGTCCACAGTTTCCAATCTCATTCTGAAAGCAGCTGTGTTCCTTAAAAGGTAAAACGAGTCTTTTATAGGTCTACAGCAACTGAGTGTTTGAAAATGATTAGAAACCAGATGGAAGAAAGCAATTTTTCAACGATCATGGACTGACTCTATCAGCTTCAGCAGTTCCCTTATCTTTTTAATCTATCTTGGACTTTTAGTTTTTCTGGTAAGAGATTTACAAAAAGTATCTCACTTTGACATTTAGCAAGAGGTAAACAGAAAACAGTTTCAGAGAAATACAGAATAAGATAAGCAAAACAATTCAAATATTACATGGCTGTACTCACAAGCACCTGGTTATTAGTATGTTCTAATTTTTTTTAAAGATATAAACAGTTTCATGCAAAATGAGTAAGTTATGAAAGCTGGGCAGAAATAAATAGCATACTGCTAAAATCAAGTCAATTTACAACAAGGTTACCTGCATATATTTTTAATTATGTGCTTATGTTCCAAAGTGATTAGGCCTAAAAAGCAAAAAGCAAATGGCTCGCGTTTAAGTGGCTAAAATTAATAATGTTCTTACGTATTCAAATCAAATTTATGATTTTTCTCTTCACTAATTTTCATACCAGATATGTTGACAGTATTCTCTGTTATTGTGTAGAGACAAAGGTCCTACTGAAAAATCCCAAGCAATGTGAGAAATTCTACACTGCGGCCGATCTTCCCAATAAGTGAAGTCTGGGGACTGTGCCTTAGAGCAGTGGTCTCCAGCGTTTCTGGCACCAGGGACTGGTTTTGTGGAAGACAATTTTTCCATGGATCATGGTGCGGGGAGGCAGGCAGAGATGGTTTCGGGATAATTCAAGTGCATTACATTTATTGTGCACTTTATTTCTATTATTATTACATTGTAATATATAATAATTATACAACTCACCATAATGTAGAATCACTGGGAGCCCTGGGCTTGTTTTCCTGCAACTAGACGGTCCCCCTCTGGGGGTGATGGGAGACAGTGACAGATCATCAAGCATTACATTGCACAACCTAAATCCTTTGCATGTGCAGTTCACAATAGGGTTCGCGCTGCTGTGAGAATCTAACGCTGCTGCTGATCTGACAGGAGGCAGAGCTCAGGTGGTAACGCGAGCCATGGGGAGTGGCTGTAAATACGTATGAAACTTCCCTGGCTCGCTGGCCCACTGCTCACCTCCTGCTGCATGGCCTGGTTCCTAACAGGCCACGGACAGCTTCTGGGGGTTGGTGACCCCTTCCTTAGAGCACCTGTTACATGGTGGGCCTTGGGCAGGACAGGCTCTATTCTTTGTAACTAGGACTAGAAATAACTAGTAGGTATACTGCTCCTGAGGGAGAAGCTCAGTCTTGGTTCTGAAAGGGAGGTAACTAAAAGGGCAAAAGAAAAAACAAGGGCATGGTAGAAAAACAGGAAGAAAACAAAGTAGGGTCGAAGGGGACTTTCTGAAAGGGAGAACTTGAGATGTACTGAAACCATGGGAACATTGAATTTGTCTTCTTGGCTGGAACATGAGGTGATGAGTTAAGGGTTCTACTCCGTAAGGTTTGGTTGGCCAATATTTTTAGGTCAGGTGCTGTATTATCTGATTACAGTGTTGCAAATGCTGCTTTGCACAAGGCAAAAACTGACTTTTGTGTGAACTTAGTGACAGAAAGCAGAGTTGATCCAGAATTCAGAAAAGACACATCTCACATTTGTTAAAGACACTGACTCCTATCTGGTCTGTCTTACAAGCCTACCCCCAAACATAAGACTGAAGACAGGAAAACATATTTTACAGAAGAATATGGGCTAATAAATTCAGATATATTTTCCTGTATTTTTTTTCACTGAGAGGAGAAAAAAGAAATGGTAAGCAGTAACCAACTTCATAATTTTAACAAGTGTTAATTTTAACTTCAATTCTATAAACACACAAATAAAAGATATATAATGTGCATATCTGAGGAACCACGCAGCCATATAGATTTAGTGAAAACATTAATAATTTAATGTCTACATTAAGTTTCAGAAAATAACTGTATATATATTTTCCAATAGAAAATTAGTAAAGTAAGTATGGAACTGATAACAGATGTTAGAGATGACAGGGCCATTCTGAAAAATAAGTTTATGCTTATACGAGACTCTTCTATTTAGTCTATAAGTTAATTATGTACTTATTCAGAAATTCAAAAGAACCAAGGCAAGAAAACCCAAGACCAATATGAAAGGTCGAATGTAAAATGTTTTCATCTACTTACGTTATTACAATAAAATGCGTAAAATACTCCTGAGACATAGCAGCCCAGTATTCCAATAGAAATTCCTGCATAATCTAATGCCATCCATCTTCGACATGTTTTTTCTGACCGATGGCAGGAAAAAAGATGATAGCCCACAGAGCAAAGCATACAGACCTGTGAAAAATAAAAACAAATTAACAAAGTGACTAAAGAAACTAAAGCAACTTATGCATGATATTCAGGGAAGTAGTTAAGAGGCTAGGCTTTCAATTCAAACATTTATGGGCTTGGATTCTAGCTCTGTGCCTTACATGGCTACTGTAGAGCTCACTCTACATGTAGAGCCATGTAGAGCCATGAGGGAAAGCCTCAGTTCCCTCATGGGTAAAATGTAGATAATAATAATGAAGGAGAAAATTTAAAATAACTATATTACAAAATGAAAATTATAAATAAATAGCACAGTAATGGGAAAGTTATACAATGCAAATGTTTTAAAACTATCATCTGAGGCTTGTTTTGATCCATGAATTAATTTGTTTTTAAAGAGTATTTACTATAGAAGCAATATATAGCCTTAAAAAAATCAAAGAACATAAATATAAGCCCCTCTTACTCAATCTATTCCCCAGAGGTGGCCAGTGATAACATTTTTTATGTGTCTTTCCAGATATTTTCAATACATATGTCAAACACCTGTGATATATTAGTCTATACACATGCACACATTATATATATATATATATATATATATACACACACATTTTAAAATTAAATGAAATCACACTATGCATTCTGTTCCACAATTGGCTTTTTTTCAGTTAAGAATGTTCATGTCTGTATGAGATTCATTGTATAGAGTTTACTTTTAATTTCTAAGGTAAACACAGTTTTATTGCCTTCAAGAAAAAACAGGCTGGTGTAGTAGTGGCTCATGCCTGTAATCCCAGCACTTTGGGAGGCCATGGTGGGAGGATCTCTTGAGCGCAGGAGTTCGAGACCAGCCTGGGCAACATAGGGAGACCTCATTTCTTAAAAAAAAAAAAAAAAAAAAAAAAAAATTGGGCATGGCGGCATGCACCTGTGGTCCCAGCTACTTGGGAGGCTAAGGCAGGAGGATTACTTGAGCTTGGGAGATCGAGGCTGCAGTGAGCCGTGACTGCCCCACTATACCCCAGCCTGGGTGACAGAGCTGTGACTGCCCCACTATACTCCAGCCTAGGTGACAGAGTGAGATCCTGTCTCAAAAAATAATAATAATAATTTAAAAAACAGTGATGACTTGCTAACTTTATATGGTTGCCAAACTGAGAGTAAAGCTAATCTGATTCAATCAGCTGTTCTGATAATTGATAAGGTTCTATGGCAGAATGCCTTTCAGCTATTAAGTACCTGCTGTATGTCATACATTGGAGGTGATACAGAATCACTGAACAAACAGTACAGTAACAAATCCTACTGTACTTCAGTGCACAGCATAATTGGAAAAGGTGGGAGGATATTGACTCTGTGGAGGTACATGTGCATTTGGAGGGTGGGACTGGTGGGAAGAAAAGTATCAGAGAAGGGCTGTTCACCTGAGGCAGATTTTAAAAGTTGGGCTGGCATTCACCAAGGACATAAAAAAAGGTGTGCACATATTTATGGCTGGGGGCAGGGATTAAGGAAAAGCATCATATTCTTTATAATATGATTATGACATTTCCTATACATTAATGGGTTTTAACTTCAATATTATGGGTATGATAAGATACTCCTGAAGATTTTAAGTGCCCCCCAACAGAGGTGTGGACTAGAAGGGCTGAAACAGGAGGTTACAGAAATAGCCCTGGAGAGCAAACACTGAGACAGTGACAGTGGGGTGGAGGCAATGGGACAAATAAACAGTATAAAGTAGTTACAAATGATAAACATTTTGTAAGCTATTGCTAAGGCAGTAACATGGTCATCTAGCTATTAATATTTTATATTCTGGTCATTAAACAAATCTAGTTACTATAGACTCAATATCAGTATTCAATAACAATGTACTTTGCCACAACTTCATTGCTTCATCAATTGTCTAAAATCCTTAATAGTCTATAGCTTTTTGGTTACTAAGCAACCAATCAGTAACTAATTCTAAGTTAGTTATTTAAACGTAACTCAAAGAAGTTTGGTTATTTGTTTTCTCAGATTATCCTTGAGATTAAGCACCATAAATCAGGAGAACATAAAAGTGTATATTTCTCATTGATGGGGAAAGATCCCATTGCCACAATGTTGAATGACACAAGGGCAGGTCGCAAAATAGCAAGCAGAGATGACTGTAGCTTGGAAGTAGGTAGACAGGTAAGGGAGCAGGCAGGTAGGCAGGTGCAAGGTAGCTATGCATACACAAACATACGCATTTGGGTTAAACTCATTGTTTAACGCAAATGTCCAATGTGGTTACCTCTGAAAAGTGGAATTTCAGGTGACGTTTTCTTCCACAAACTTCTGTTTGCCTAAATTTCTACATGATTATATCTTGTAGTAATAATTAGAAACAAACATAAAGCTCATTTCATTGTGAAAAAGAAAATAAAAAGAGGAAAAAAAGAAACTATGGTATCCAAGGGAAAAGTAAAATAGCATTAACAGAAAACCCCAGATTTTAAAGTTAACCCATACCTAGTATGCCCTGTTTAAGAAGGAATATGTTATTCCTAGAGTTTAAAAATGGACTGAAAGATAATCTGGCAAATTGGGTATGTTTCAGTTATAATGGAAAGTTTCCTTCTATGGAGTACCTCACTCCATCAAGGTAGACAGATAATTACAGTGTTACATTCACATCGAAACTCCTTGGCATGATAACAAAATACCTCATGATTTGATCCCTGCCAATCTCTTCAGCCTTATCTTTCTCCATTCTCCTAGGTTTCAACCACAAAAACTAGTACCTGCAAGTCCAGAAAGTGCTAAGAAAGTGTGTCTTGCTTCTTTTTTCCTGCTTAAATGCCCTGCCTCACTGTCTCTTCTGCACACCTACGAGTGGCTTGACCTTTATACCAGGTTGGTTCTGTTCAGCACTGTTTTACCGATGCCTTGTATAGTGTCTGGATGTATATAGGACACATTCAACAAATATTTGTTAACTGAATGTAAATGGATCAAATCAAGGCATTATTGTATTCTAACATTCTTCTCCAAAATACAAATACCCTGGGAAGGTTCAAAGCCCCTCAATTACATTCTATTGTTCAGAATGTACTCTATTTATCTGGTTGCGAGGAAAGCACTAAAGCATACAGAAGCATAGGAGTGAGAAAAATGTTATGTCTTTTAATATTAAATGTAAATCAATATTAATAAATATATCTATGGTTTACTATACTGTCCACTGACCCTAAGAATCTGGAAAACTCAAGTGAACAAGTTATAATTTGATAAGAAGTGGTCTTTTCAAGTAGGGAAGATGTGCTCATCTGTCTTTAGTAAGTTGTACAGCATGTATTGTAACAATGATCATTGCACTAGCAAGTAGGAGAACAGGATTTTACTGCCCTGCTGAATAATCCTGGGCAAGTCACTGTAATATTTTGGGTCTGTTTCTTTATTGGAAATTGTTGTAATTATTTAATCCTTTTTAGTTTTGCAATGTATTGTTTTCTTAGGTCAATACTGAAATTGATACATATTCTCTGAACTAACATCAGCTGTGGCAGGTGGTGAAGGCATAAAGAATAGGCCTAGGGATGGAGGAAAAGAGCAGGGATTCTCAAAGTAGATAATATGCATATAACTAACAAGAATAGAAGCCAGTTTTTACTTAATGATTATTAATAGCATGTTAATCTATACTAAGATGCACCTAAAAATTTAAAAAGAAATTGATTCATTTCCATTATAAAATTGGTTATGGATTTCAAGGGATATTTTGGCTGTAATCAGGGCAAAAATTAAACCTCAGAAAGAGTTTATTTTTAAAGAATATTTGAAGGAAAAATAATTTTCTAATAACAAAAATAGATTATGCTTTCCCTCAAAGAAAATTAAAATATTATTCCAAAAATTGGAATTAATAAAAAAGGGGAAGAGAGATTTGTTTTGCTGTGTTTCTTGGCCATTGAAGTCCAAAGTTTAAACTTGAGTAAAATGATGACTCTCTGAAATAAAATGATACATGATGAAAGCGACATTTGTGCAGCTGAGTTATGAGATTCACCTCTCAAACTCAGCAGCAACAGGCTAACTGCAGGGAATAGCTACTCTGTGTCTGTCATGAGAAAGGGGGATAATAAGTTTTTCATTTTTGTGTTTTTTTATGTTCTCTGAAGCAGAAAAAGTTGTTTTAAATGTCAACAGAACTACAGTCCACATTTGTTTTCTGATTCAAAATTATCTGTTTGAAATCTAATAAATGTTAACTTTTAAAGACATTTTTACAGATTCTTGAAAAATGCCAGTGCTATGGAACTAACAAATACAGGAGGTAGAGAGGAAAAGAAACAACGTATTTGAAGCCAGGCCAGTGGGTTCAAAATAAATTAACATTAAAGCAACAGAGTAAAAAATCAATACCAGCAAAACAGGACAGTAAAATATAGTATGGAAATAACAAATACAAAAATCACAAACACAAACAGGAGGAAAGAGATGAGAAATCTTCCCAAACAAGTTTTAAGTAGGCACTAGTGTTGTACTTCAGCCAGATAATAGAATGCAATCAAAGATTCCTATTTTTTTAATTAATCTTAAAGCAGAGGTGCCCCAAAAGAAGAGGAAAGAAACAAATTCTTCTCAATCTTTGTAATTTAATGGATTTCAAACATACTCTCATAAGAACACATCGTTTGGTGTTTATGTTATGAAAATCAATAAGCTGACCAACATGCCATTCCGGGGCTCTTTAAAGCAAGTGGTAGGTCTGAGGTAAGGTCACCTGACCAAGACTGCCTGTCAAAAAGTTCTCTTTACCAACAGCAGTATTTGTGAAATGACTTACCTGGAAGCAGAAAAGACAAATAGAACAAATTACAAAATCTTCTCTGGACGCACTTGCTGAAGGTAACACAGATGTCATGTCATATATTCCCAGGGTGAAGAAGAGAAAGAAACCCAGCAAATGACTCCAGATGTTTACTGTCTCATTAGATAAAATAAACAAACTGGAAAATAAACACACATGCAACTGAGATTCACATTGGCCAACTTACTGTCACGTTCAAAGGTTAGGGACAATTTTGAGGAGTTACCTAATACTTGCTCCTTTAAGCTCTTACCCCACCTGTACCTTTCTAAATTTGATATATTATCTAATTAAATTATTCTAAGTTTTTCTACATCGCCACCAAGTCTGGGACCACAGTTTTTTGGGTGCTCACCTCTATTATCATACTTACCATTTCCTTCTCTGTATTAAGAGATTTACATACAAATTCCATCTCATCTTCCAGCCTATCAATTCCCTAATGGTCAGTACCATTCATCTTTATGACACTACTGTTCACAATGCCTTGCTCAGATTAGTCTATAGACTAAAGGTCTCCAGAAATGAACGTGCAGAGGAAATCTGGATGTTAACTAGCACACTCTATCAATAATACGTATCTGAAAACCTGCTCAGTGCAAGGTTAGGCATCATCTTAAAATACTTTCCTAGAGCTCATTAAATACAAATGCAAAATTAAATGGATTTAAGAGAAGCAAAATAAATATATATTGATCCATTGGAAAGGTTCTTTAAGATAGGCATGCCAGAACAACTTTGCCGTGGATGTTTTAAAACTAGTCTAGTTTCCAGGTGGCATAAGTTTCTCCTTTTCACAAACAACTGGACTTAACTTTTAATATGGGTACTACGTGCTCTCTTTCAAAATGCCCTGGGCTAACTGGACTTGGCAGCACAGGTTGCTAGAGCGTGTACCACCCTGAGTCAAGAGGCTCACTGTCCCCACCCTACACAAGTCACTTAACCTCTCCCGGCTTCAGTTTCTTCATCTATACAGTAATGGAGCTTCATTAGATGCTGCTGCAACTTTCTTCTAGCTCCTTTCTTACTTTTGTGAAATGGTTCTCCAGATGTAGATAGGACTCATCTGATTATTTACTGAAAGGTGACATCATGACTAAAGATTAAAATACTCTTGCATTTGTCTGCAAAATCTCGTATTTTTGCTTAAATTTAGGTTTTTGGTCTTCACTGATTCAGAAATCCTTGACATAATGACATTGACATATAACTCTAAATTTGTAGCAGTCACTGTGGTTCTCAGGTTCTCATTTTTACAAGAAATGGAATTTCCTATTTGCTTTGCTTCTCAACTTCATTTCTTGTAACAATGAAAGTGAGAACCATAGTGACTGCTACAAATTTAGTTATACGTCAACGCTTACTAGTAAGGATTTCTGAATCAGTGAAGGCCAAATACATGATGTATATAGCAAGGTGTCAAAACTATCAAATGATCATCAAAAATAAAGTGAATCTTGGATCATGAATTTCAGGCTTTATCATGTACAAGCATCAAGTGTAAAGACTACTTATAACTGGAGGAAGGGATGCACGAATGTGCTTGAAACATCTAACTACAGGACTGTTTTGACAATCAGTACTATGCTCTGCTTATTACTTCAGAACTTTTCTTTTTGTGAAATCCAGTATAACCTGACTAACTGAACTGAGAGGCACCACCTCTCCATGTTCCCTGCAGCTAACAGAGGACTGGCAAAACTGCTATGACATACAAAACCTCCTCAGATTACATCCAAAATCTGTCCCCGTCACTCCTGAAAGCCAAAAGGAGAGAGGGCAAAGGCTAAACTTGGAAAAGATAAGGCTGGTGGGAAGGCAAGAACATCTCCAATAAAGAATCTACTCTTACTGTACGAAAAGTTAGGTGTCTCCTGCACAGTAGACACACCTGACAGCAGTATCTTAAGCATACCCTGAGAATGACCCTATATGAAAAACACACTTGAATGTGTGTTTACAATTCCAAGCACGGCCAACCCTTAGACTGATTCCTTATCTATGAGGAACATCTGAGCCCCTGTCCCATCTCATGGAATGCTGACTGTACATGGGATGGAGGCCTTTTGTTTTGCAAATGAAGATTACCAGATGGAGGTTGTTAGGGGGAAGGGTGCTAAGTAAAAATGCTATTTAAACTGCATGCTTTCTGCAGGCGGCAGAGGTTCTCCCGTTCAGGCCACTGTCACTGGACCTCTCTGTAAATTACCCTAGTAAAACCCTATGTCTTGTTTACTGGCTTTGGGTCTCTTCTTCCGTCTTTCGAACCTGGTGCCATCCTTATTGAAGTTAACAGGAGTCCAGCACCACATCTTCGTATTCTGTTCAGTTTTAAAATCAAATAATCATCTTCATTATCATCATCTGTTCAGCTTCACAACCACTGGTGATGACAACAATCACCATTTATTGACGGCTTATTAGGTTCCAGGCCATGTATAGCATTTCACACACAGAATCTTACTGAATCTTTTTTTACCTCTGGAAGCAGATACTGTGATTACCCTCATTTTTATATGTGGGTATAATGAGGCTCAGTGAGGTTACATTTTGCTCCAGGTCTCAGAGCTGTTAAGTGGCAGATTTGGATACTAAAGTCTTTGACTCAATAGCTCAAGAGCTAATGCTCTATACTTAATTTTCCACTCCATGAGATTTGGACCCTAACATCAGAACGCAGAAGACCACTGCTAGTTGAGTAGAAAATATTTAAGGCAATTCACTGCTTGCCCTATTCTTGTGGAACTCCAGATCCACAGCAGAACTCAGCTGTGTAATTTACTCATGCACAGGAGGCACTGGGGAGGAAAACGGTAATTACGCTTCAAGTTGTGAATCCTAAGGGCCATCCATTCAAGCCAAGTAGGGATGGGCAGTGATGTCACCTTGTGACCATGAGTCACAGAAACACTTTCATGGCAGGACAAAAGGAAAGAAGGGCAGGAAAAGACAATGCTGGAAAAATCAAGAATCAGACATGTGGTTGCCGCTTGAGCAATTCAACAGCCCACATTCTGGCACTAGGGTTTGCCACTACAGCGACCTGGAGCTAACCAACACCTGTATCTTAATTCTCCTGAAGCAGAGGTCCTGTATTTTAGTACAGGTAGTAAGTTTGGACAGTTACTCCAAGAACTAGAATAGTTATTTTTCAGTTTTGTTTTTTTAAAACACGGATTTTCAAGGGACTGTGGTTTTAAAGGTTTAAAATGATAAAGAAATTTCTTTCTTAGAGATGCTTCTGTGGTGCTCTAGTGGAGACTGGGTGCCCGTTATGAGCTCTCTTTACCACAGTACTTTTCCTACACAGCATTTTTTCCACAATGGTTATTATGTAATTGTGTAATTATCTATTTAATGTCTGTTACCCAGGCTACACCTTAGTAGCTTCATGAAAACAAGGGCCATGTTTGCTTTTTTTTCTGCATGGGCTCCATAAGTATTTGCCAAATGAATAAATCTCGGGTGTATATGTTAACTTGTTTCCTATTATACAGGCACTTATCTGGCCCAAAGCTACTGAATTCCCACAGTGTTGCTCTAAAAAGAAAGGTATACACCGGGCAAATATGGCTCAGCCCCATTTCAATATATATCTCAATGAGCCGAACAAACCGAATAAAGGATGTAAAAGCCCTTTGTAAAGAGCAAAGCGTCATAGGAGAGCTGTAATTATGATCACTGTTACTATCATGATTATTCCGTGGACCAAGTACCCCGGCCAGGTAAGGGGAGATAACGGGGGAGGAGAGGCGGCAAAAAGGGATGAAAAGGATGGGGCGGCGAGGAAATGATGGGCAAGCAGAAAGGCGGGGAAAGCAGAAGGGGGACCAGACAAAAAGGGTGTAGGTGAGAGAAGGGGGCACTCCAGGCGGAGGCAGCCAGACCGTACCTTTTGATACACAGCCTGGACGGCAGGTAGGCCCGGTAGCCGTCGGTGATGTACGGGTTGTCCTTGAGGGACCCGGGGATCTGCTCGTAGGTGTACAGGCGGATGCCACGGGGCACCAGGACCGGCCAGTACTGGTAGCTGCCCAGCTCGATGTAATGCGCGCTCTTCAGCAGCTTCTGATGCATCGTTCCCGGCCGCCGCCGCTCCCCGGCTCGGGAGCTCCCCCAGGTCCCGCCTCCCCGGGGAGGGGGCTTCGCCGCTGGCGCCCCCGCCCCGGAGCCCGCGGACGCTGCGCGAGGTCCTACCGCGCTGCCGCTGCTGCCCAGGGCCCGGCTCTGCGCTCACACCGGCCACTGCCGCCAGCGCCGCGGCGGACCCGGCAGCGTCGCAGCCTCCTCTGACGTCAGCGCGCCGCGGCGGCCCCGCCCCTCAGCCCTAGCTGGGAGGGGCAGGGTGCTGGGGCGCGCCCGGGTGTGCTCGAGCGTGCGCTGGCGGCGGCCCGGGCTCCCGGGCGTCTCTCACGCTGTGTTTTGGCGGCGCCTGGGGTCTTCGTTTGCATATGAGAAGAGCCGAAAGCACAGAGCTACAGGCGAATACAAGTGGATTTTTTTTCTTTTTCTGTTTTTTTATTAGAAGTAATAGTTGCTGCATTTTGAAAAATCAAGAGGAAAAGAGTTAACAGGAAGAAAAGTTCGAGGTAATTACCGTTTAGTTTATGCTTGGAATTACACACACTTAGTGTCAGAAGGGACTTTGAGGATTTCTAAGCTGAAGTCAGCTCTTAGCACGATAATTGGAAAGAGAGGAAACCTGATGCACGTGGAACATACACCAGCATCGAGCACATCCTGAGCCATAAAGGAAAGCCCCCGTGCATTCAAAACTCCGACCCCTTTCAGCGTTATGTTCTCTGATCACAGTAGAATTAAACTAGAGTAACAAGAAAACTAAAAGTCTCCACGTCTGGAATAGGAGCAATACACCAAATATTTCAAGGGCTGATGAAGAAATCACAATGGAAATGAGAATATCTACTTAACTGAATAATATAGAACATATTAAAAAATCCTGTGGAGTGCGGCTATAGTAGCGTTTACAGGAAGTGTTGCAGCTTTGTTTCTGGCTATTTACTGTAATGCAAGTGTTTACTTATAATGGCAACAGGGCAAAACATCAGTTTGAGTACCGTATGTGTATAATAGAACGCTTAGTCCATTGTTTGGCATTGTAAGGGCAAGAAAAATATCTTGTCCTCACTTATCACAAGGTTCACAGCTGACATTCCTATGAAAAAAATTAAGAGAAGCCAGGCGCAGGTGGCTCATGCCTGTAATCCCAACATTTTGGAAGGCCGAGGCAGGCGGATTGCTTATGCCCAGGAGTTGGAGACCAGCCTGGGTAACATAGTGAGACGCTGTCGCTACAAAAAAAACCAACCAAACAAACAAAAAACAAAAATTAGTCGGGTGTGGTGATGGGCGCCTGTAGTCCCAAACTATTCTGGGCTGAAGTGAGAGGGTTGCTTGAGCCTGGGAGGTCGAGGCTGCAGTGAGCCATGTTTGTGCCACTGCACTCCAGTCTGGGTGACAAAGCGAGACTTTGTCTCAAAAAATAAATAATAAAAATTAACAAGAAAAGGGATAATAAATTCATTTAACACAGTTTTATGTGACAGAGGAGTCTTCAGAAATGAAGACACAAAGACCCAGGAAAAAATGGGCTTTTTATGCTAAGTCTGATGAAAGGAGTGGATAGTTGTGGAGAAACATGATTGAAAGGGGGCATCATCTAATGATAATAAACTGAGGGGGGATCCTAGCTAGCAAGGCCAGTTCATTCAAATTCTTGGCCTCAGAGTATGGGGCAGGAACTCTCTAGAATGAGGGTTTTATGACCTAGTTTCAGGTGAGGTAAGTCAGAACTCCTTTGTGACCACGGAAAGGCAGGGACAGTCAGAAAGTAACCTTACTAGATTTTTTGTTGTTGTTGTTGTTGGGGGAAGACAGAGTCTCACTCTGAAGCCCAGGCTGGAGTGCAGTGGCACAATCTCGGGTCACGCAATCTCCACCTCCCGGGTACAAGCAATTCTCCTGCCTCATCCTCCCGAGTAGCTGGGACTACAGGCACCCACCACCATGCCCGGCTAATTTTTGTACTTTTCGTAGAGATGGGGTTTCACCATGTTGGACAGGCTGCCCTTGAACTCCTGACCTCAAACAATATGCCTGCCTCAGCCTCCCAAAGTGCTGAGATTACAGGCGTGAGCCACCACGCCCGGCCCCTTACTAGGTTTTATGGCTTCCTTTAGGGAGAGAAATTCTAGGTTGTAAGACCCACTTGGGAAGAACAGGAAAAGGAAGAAAGGAGGACGGAAAGAAGTTCAGAGAGACCTTAGTTTTGAGGCCTTCCCAGTCTCCTTTAAAGTACTCAGCATGTCAAAGCACCACACTTTGGGGTGGGTGTGGTGTTCTGAACCCTGACAACATACAATAATCACTCATAATACCTATTATTATTATGCTAGTAATATTGGTTGATTTTTGAGAAGCAGTATGGCTTAGTGATTAAGATATTGGACTTTGAAGCCATTTACTTAAGTTCGAATTTGTGTTCAATCATTTACTAACTATTAATACATGTCCTAGTGCAGGTAACTTAACCTCTCTGAGCCTCAGTTTTCTTATTGGTAGAATAAGACTAATAACAGTACTTTGTGTTGTTGAGGATTAAATGACTAAATCCATGTAACAGTCTTAGAAAAGTACCAGACATACTGTTAGCACTCAACAAATGTAAGCTATATAGAGAGTTCAAGGAAAAATAATCAATAAAACTGGAAAGGTAAATTGAAATATATCCTAAGTGGACTTAAATGTCCTATGAAGTAAGTGAGACTTATTTTTTAAGTCATGGAGCTAAAAATAATGTTTGAGAACTTACTACATGCTCAGTACATTGTCTCTGCTGAAGGTTACTGTGTATAGAAATTCTCATTTCCTAGTGTAGGACGTTCATGCCTGAGAATGCCTACCTGCCACTCCTACAGACCTCTTATAGGAGGTTCCTTCTGCACGTATTTCTTGCTGGTACCATATGATACTACCTTGAGTCTATTGCTGAACCAAAAGTAGATCAGTATTCCATGACATTCGATGGCACAAATGTCCATTCAAGAACAATGGTAATTAGTTTGATCAATCAATTACTTCCTTAGGAATTTGACCTGGAGATGTGGGAAGAGAATCCGTAGCCTGTTATTTGAAACAAAGTAGAAAGATGCCCAGAGATTATCAGACACAGAGAAAGTAGCTGAGTTATGATAATGATGGGACACTAGAGTAAAGAACTAAAAATGGCACTTTGGGAGGCCGAGGCAGGCGGATCACGAGGTCAGGAGATTGAGACCATCCTGGGTAACACCGTGAAACCCTGTCTCTACTAAAAATACAAAAAATTAGCCGGGTGTGGTAGCGGGTGCCTGTAGTCCCAGCTACATGGAAGGCTGAGGCAGGAGAATAGCATGTATCCGAGAGGTGGAGCTGGCAGTGAGCCGAGATTGCGCCACTGCACTCCAGCCTGGGTGACAGAGCGAGACTCCGTCTCAAAAAAAAAAAAAAAAAACCCTAAAAATGGGAACTGCTTTGGTCTTCAGCAGTGTACCCATGAAACCTTTTGCAAAATGACTTCTGGATTTATTTCAACAATTTATGGCCTTTTTCAGTTCTCCCTAGTCCATTTACATGACTTAACTTTCCAGTTATGCACTCTAACAACAAGCACTAAAAAAACACTTATAAAATTCACAAACAAATATGAAAAGGTAGATATAGCAACAATCCATGCCTGAGTCCTAGAGTGAGAAAGAGATCTATAGGTAAAAAAACAAAATAATAGAAATGGAAAGAGCTCTTCTATTCAAATCTGTAAGACAATGGAAGCAGGAGCAACACTGCTTTGGGACACCTCTAACAGAGGGTAACACAAAGGTGAGAGGGCGCATTTCCCCACAGATAACAATGACATTGTGGCACTTTGAGGGCTCTGGCTGTTTAGTCATGGTGCTTAACAGAGATCTTCAGCAGCATGTCTGGTGGAAGAATAAAACTTGTTGATGCACTTGGTGAGGCACCAGCATCTGTGATAGGTGGAGATCGACAGCATCCAGCAGGAGACTTTGGTGCCTCTTGAAGTGGCAGGTTGGGGAACTGAACTGTCCAGTCAAAGATAATGGGAAAATGGTAGCACCCTATCATGAACAACTGCGAGACAAATCCTGGATTTTAGAGATGCTTGAGGTGGTGTGGATGGGAATGGGATGCAGTTCTCAAGGAGCTGAAGTCCTGAATTTCCAAGTGGGAGCAGGAGCCTGGGGACAGGAGACATGGGGGCTGAATGGGGCCTTTGGGGTAAGACAGATCGCCTCCCCTCTCCTCCCCTCCCCTCCTTCCCTCCTTCCCTTCCTTCCTTCCTTCCTTGCCCTTTCTGCATTTGTTACAATTCAAACAGTGTTGGAGTGAGATTTGCAGGTATTGAGATGTCCACAACACAGAACTTTACATTTACTGAATTCTGACAATGTGCCACACATTTTCCTATATGCTAACAGAGATGAATAAGACAAATTTTAGACAACAACCTTTGCAGATTTCAGCAGCACTAACATTTTGATCACTCTACCATTGAACTCTCTTTTCTGGACTTTTGGGACCACCCTCATCTGGACTCTTTTCCTTATCTTTCTGGCTTGTCTATAAAGTCCCAAGGGACTTTATAGCCACTGTTTCTCTGTCTGACCCTTCCGAATGTTTTCAGGATTCCTTCTTCAGTGTTGTAAATTCTATTTTTTCCCTTTATATTTCCATGGCTTCAGTTACTGTCTTTTTCAGGTTGGATCTCCTTTCTATGCATCTGGATTTGCATGTGGAGCCGGACATAGAAACCTGAAATATTACAAATGAACTGTTATATTTTCTCCTAAATCTATTTACATCCCTAAATCTCTATTTACTCAGCCTCTTAAGCCAAAAGTCTTGCAGTCATCTCTTCCCTTGGCACAATTTTATTAGTAACCTCCTTTGCTTCCTTCCCCATCACTGCAACCAGTTCCTTGTCAATGATTTTTGACTCCCCTGCCTAATTAAGCTTGTCTGAAAAAACAAAGAAGCAGTTCATCAATTTAACTATGTCCTCTTTAATTCTACAACCATATTGCTAAAGAAAATGACAGGATGGCATGGATTGGTATTTCTACAAGTTGTTTACAATCTCTACAGAACCTTCAACATCATTTGGATATTTTAAATGTTTACTTGACATTATATGTGCCCATCTCCCCTCTTCCTTAGCAAATCAGCTGTTTCCTATCTCACAGAGAAAATAGAGGTCATAGAGTAGGAACTCTCTCAGCTTTCTACTGCTAGCCTTCCACCTGTAAGTTCACTCACAATTAAAGCCCATTCTTTGTTTCCTTTCCTCTGTCTCAATAGAAATGACTACTTTAACACCTCCTACTTAAGGTCAACCCTGCTGCCTATTTTCTGAATCATGCTCCCCTTCGTTTCCTAATGGACCTTGCTCTGTCAATTATCCTTCTCTCAGATATGTCTCCAACCTTTCCTTCTCTATTTTTTTCCCCTTTGGTTCTTAAACATGTTGCAAACAAGCATTTTTGAGTAAACAGACTATAGAATGAGAGAAAATATTTTGAGTAAACAGACTATAGAATGAGAGAAACAGACTATAGAATGAGAGAAAATATAGAATGAGAGAAAAAAAACCTCTGTAATTTTTTTTAACATTTCAACTTTTATTATAGGTGAAAGGGTACCTGTGAAGGTTTCTTACATGGGTAAACTGCATGACACTGAGGCTTCAGGCCATCCAGGCAATAAGCATAGAACCCAACAGGTGGTTCTTTGGCCCATGCCCCCCTCTCTCCCTCCTCGATCTAGTGATCCCCAGTGTCTCTTTTTCCCATTTTTACAATCACGTGGATTCAATGTTGAGCTCCCACTTGTGAGAACACGTGGTATTTGGTTTTCTGTTCTTGTGTTAGGTCAGGTCGCTTAGGATAATGATCTCCAGCTCCATCCATGTTCCTGCAAAGCGCTGAAAGAACGATTTTGTTCTTTTTTTTGGCTACTCAGTATTCTGTGGTGTATATGTACCACATTTTCTTTAGTCCATTGTTGATGGGTATTTAGGCTGATTTCATGTCCTTGCTATTGTGAATAGTGCTGCAATGAACATACAGGTGCATGTGTCTTTATGACGGGATGAGTTATTTTCCTTTGAGTATATACCCAGTAGTGGGATTGCTGGGTCAGATGGTAGTTCTATTTTAGGTTTCTTGAGAAATCTCCAAACCACTTTCCACAGTGGCTGAACTAGTTTACATTCCCATCAACAATATATAAGCATTCCCATTTCTCCACAGTCTCACTGTATTAGTCTGTTTTCACACTGCTATAAAGATACTACCTGAGACTGGGTAATTTATAAAGGAAAGAGGTTTAGTTGACTCACAGTTCCACATGGCTGGGAAGGCCTCGGGAAATTTACAATCATGGCAGAAGGCAAAGGAAAAGCAAGCACTTTCTTACATGGCAGTAGGAGAGAAAGAGCAGGCAGGGGAAACTGCCACTTTTAAGCTATCAGATCTTCTGAGAACTCCCTTCCTATCATGAGAACAGCATGGGAGAACTGCTTCCATGATCCAGTCACCTCCCACAGGGTCCTTCCCTTGACATGAGGAGATTACAGTTTGAGATGAGATTTGGGTGGTGACACAGAGCCAAACCATATCACTCACCCTCTGTTGCTTTTTGACTTTTAAATAATCGCCACCATTCTGACTGGTATGAGATGATATCTCATTGTGGTTTTGATTTGCATTTCTCTGATGAGTACTGATGTTGAGCATTTTTTCATATTTTTTTTGGCCACTTGTGTGTCGTCTTTTGAGAAATGTCTGTTCATGTCCTTTGCCCATTTTTTAATTGGATTGTTTGGTTTTTGCTTGTTTATTTTTTTAAAGTTCCTTGTAGATTCTAGATATTAGTTCTTAGTCAGATACATAGTTTGCAAATATTTTCTTCCATTCTGTAGTCTGTTTATCTGTTGGTAATTCATTTTGCCGTGCAGAAGTTCTCTAATTAAGTCCCACTTGTCAGTTTTTGTTTTTGTCACAATTAACATAAATTCTTTGCCAAAGCCTATGTTGAGAAGGGTATTTCCTAGGTCTTTTTCCAGGCTTTTTGTAGTTTGAGGTCATACATTTAAATCTTTAATCTATCTCGAGACAATTTTCATATACGGTGAAAGGTAGGGGTCCAGTTTTATTCTTCTGCATATGGCTAGCCGCTTATCCCAGCACAATTCCCCATTGCTTGTTTTTGTTGATTTTTGTCTAAGATCAGATGGTTGTAGGTATGTGGGCTTATTTCTGGGTTCTCTATTCTGTTCACTGTTGTATGTGTCTGTTTTTATACCGTTACCCTGTTGTTTTGATTACTGTAGCCTTGTAGTATAGTTTGAAGTCAGATAGTGGGATGTCTCTGAATATGTTCTTTTTGTTAGGATTGCTTTGGCTATTCGGGCTCTTTTTTGGTTCCAAATGAATTTTAGAATAGCTTTTTCTAAATCTGTGAAAAATGACACTGGTATTTTGATAGGAATGGAGTTGAATCTGTAAATTGCTTTGGGTAGTATGGCCGTTTTAACTATATTGATTTTTCCAAGCCATGAGCATGGAATATTTTATATTTCTTTGTATTGTTTCTGATTTATTTGAGCAGTGTTTTGTAGTTCTCATTATAGAGATCTTTCACTTCCTTTATTAGATGGATTCTTAGGTATTTCATTTTCTTTGTGTCTATAGTAAATGAGATTGTGTTCTTAATTTGGTTCTCAGCTAGAACACTGTTGATGTAAAAATGCTACTGATTTTTGTACTTTGATTTTGTATCCTGAAACTTTACTCAATTTGTTTATCAGATCCAGGAGCCTTTTGGCAGAATCTTTAGGGTTTTCTAGGTATAGGATCATATTTTCGGCAAAGGGATAGTTTGACTTCTTCTTTTCCTATTTGGATGCCTTTTATTTCTTTCTCTTGTCTGATTTCCCTGGCTAGGACTTCCAGTACTATATCGAATAGGAATGGTGAGAGTAGGCATCCTTGTCTTGTTTCACTTCTCAGTGGGAATGGTTCCCGTTTTTGGACTGTTCAGTATGATGTTGGCTGTAGGTTTATCATAGATAGCTCTTATTATGTGGATGTATGTTCCTTCAATGCCTAATCTGTTGAGGGTTTCTACCATGAAGGGATGCTGGATTTTATTGAAGGCTTTTCCTGCATCTATTGAGATGATCTTATGGTTTTCATTTTTGATTCTGTTTATCACATTTATTGATGTGAGTATGTTAAACCAACCTTGCATATCAGAAATAAAGCCTACTTGATCATAGCGAATTAACTTTTTAATGTGCTGCATTTGATTCAGTTTGCTAGTATTTTGTTGAGAATTTTTACATCTGGGTTCATCAGGGATATTGGCCTGAAGTTTTCATTTTTTGTTGTGTCTCTGCCACATTTTAGTATTAGTATGATGCTAGCTTTGTAGAATGAGTTAGAGAGAAGCTCCTCCTCCTTGATTTAAAAAAAAATTGTTTCAATAGGATTGGTGTCAGTTCTTCCTTATGTGTCTGGTAGAATTCAGCTGTGAATCCATGTAGTCCAGAGCTCTTTTTGGTTTGTAGGTTTTTAATTACAGATTCAATTTACAAATTTATTATTGGTCTGTTCAGTTTTTCACTTTCTTCCTAATTCAGTCTGGTCTGTTCAGGTTTTTACTTTCTTCCTAATTCAATCTTTGGCATTGTGTGTTTCTAGGAATTTATCAATTTCCACTTGATTTTGTACTTTGTGTGCATAAAAGTGTTCATAACAGTCTCTGAGAATCTTTTGTGTTTCTGTGCGATCAGTTGTAATGTCATCTTTGTCATTTCTGATCGTTCTGATTTGGATTTTCTCTTTTTTTTCTTTGTTAATCTGGCTAACAATCTACCAGTCTTGTTTATTATTTCTAAGAACCAACTCTTGGTTTCATTGATCTCTTATATGGACTTTTGGTTCTCAGTTTTATTCACTTCTCTCTCTCTCTTTTTTTTGTATGTTATTCTAAAACTACAGATTTCTCTCCTTCCATTCTCAGCCATATTTCTAGAAACAGTCTACATTTATTGTCTCCATTTCTAACTTTCCTTTTGTTCGTTATCTCATGGCAATCTGACTTCTTACCCCTCTCTCTCCCCTGGCCTGTATGAAAACTGTAACATTGAATTTGCCACACTGCATGGGAACTGCCTGCTTTCTTATAGGTATTTACAACAAGATTTAATGTCTTTTAAGGAGTATTTATTCTATTTGTAGTACCAGTGCTTTAGGTGTGATATCTCTCATCTATCTATCTATCTATCTATCTATCTATCTATCTATCTATTTTATTTTACTTTTTTGAGGTAGTGTCTCTGTTGCCCAGGCTGGAATGCAGTGGTGCAAACATGGCTCACTACAGCCTCAACCTCCTGGCCTCAAGCGATCCTCCTGCCTCCACTTCCTGAGTAACTTTGGTCACAGGTATGTGCCAGCATGCCTGGCTAACTTTTTTTTGTATTTTTGTCTTATTTTTATTTCAGAGTTCCCCTCAAAAAATAACCTACTTTTTATTTTTTATTTTTTTTGTAGAGACACGGTTTCCCTATGTTGCCCAGGCTGGTCTTGAACTCCTGGTCTCAAGTGATCCTCCTGCCTTGGCAAAATGCTGGGATTACAGGTATGAGCCACCATGCTTGACCTCTTTTTTTTAATTAAACTTTTTATTTTGAGGTCATTGTAGACTCATATACAATTTTAAGAAATGACAGAGATCCCTTGTACCCTTTACTCAGTTTCCTCCAATAATAACATCTTGAAAAGCTATAGCACAATATTACAACCATGATATTGACACTGATAACAGTCAAGGTGCAGTATCATTCGCCACAAAGATCCATTACCACAAAGATCCCTTATGTTGTGGATTCAGCCACACATACTTTCTCCTGCCCACCCATTCCTTAACCCCTGATACCACTAATTTGTTCATTTCTATGATTTTGTTGTTTTGATAATGTTATATAAATGAAATCACACAGTATGTAACCTTTTGGGATTGGATATATCGCAGTTTGTTCAATCATTTACCTGTTGAAGGACATCTGGGTTGTTTCCAGATTTGGGTTATTATACAGGTTTTTGTGAAAATCGAATTTTTCTTATCTCTGGGATAAATTCCCCAAAGTGCAATTGCTGGGTCACGGTCAGATGGTAGTTTCATGCTAGGGTTTACGATAAATACCCAACAGTTTTACAATAAATTTTCTATAAATAAAGAAGTGAACAAATAATGTTATACCAAAATCTTTAGAATGAAGATTGGGCTTGAATAAATGTATTTTTACCATCTGCACAGACAATCCTATTAACTACAAAAATGACATTCTAAATATTCTGAAACATAATACAAAGCAGAAATCAATAAAGCTTAAATGTGAGGGATAAGCTTATTCATTACTCTAGGAGTCAGGGTTTTTTAGCCTAAAATGTATTTATAGTAATAGTGAAGTCTGATTCACCAGAAATGATGTACAGACATTACACTATAATATTTAATCTCCAAATGGCTACACTTTGAAAATTAGATCTAAAACCCCCACAAATGATAAACATAACTTGATAATCAGTAATGTATATTAAATAAGTAACCACATGCTCTTTAAAGATGTTTTCCTGTTTTTATGGTGGTCCATTACAGTGTTCCATTTCAGGGTGCTCCATCAGAGTTCTTGCCTTGGGTTACATCATCTCATCCCAATGCCAAGCCCATCTTTTCATTTGAAACTCACAGCCAGCACTTACAATAAGGGTCTTCATGTATCATAGAAGGAACATGTGCTAGACCCAGATGGACGTGAGGCTGAATCTGAACAATATAACTTACTGGCAAGTTATAGAATTTCTCTTGGTCTTGATTTTCTCATCTATTAGATGAGGATAAGTCTAAACAACCTAAATAACTTGACAGGGCTTAAAGTCACACGAAATAACATATACAAAGTACCTGGCACTGAAAAAGCATCAATAATATTCAATTCCCTTCACCTATGGCATTTTAAATTTTCCGAGGAATAAATTCCAATGTTTATTTATAAATGTTGCCCAAATTTGTAGTGGGTTGTTACAGATCATTCTTATCCAGGAGATTTGAACGTGTAAATTTAACAACCCAATCATATCCAAGGAAATATTCAAAGGCAGTTGATGCAGTTTCCACAGGGCCTTCTTAAAATTAGAGATAGATATTAAAATAAAGAAAAAAAACTATGCCTCATTGAAAAAGTTTACATTTTGGGATACAAACCCTATCTTCTTATTACTTGTTTTCTTATATTTTCTTCGGTATGAATATATACACTCCAGTTCAAGAAAATGAAGGGATTTTTTCTTAATTTGGGCTGATGTATTTTTATTTTTAATAAATGCTGTCAGAAACAGGACCACCATTTGCAGAGCCCAGAATTAAACAAACACCATCTTGCAGAATGGTTAAGAAAATGCATCAGGAACCACTAATAGTAGAAATCACCTCTTATAACAGACAGGAGTAGTAGCTTGCAATAATCTCATATCTGATTTGAACTTATAAAATTGAGGAAGTTCAGTGGTGGCTTCATCATCTATTTGCAGTGTAAAATTTAGGAAAATATGCATAAAAGATGAAAAATGCAAGTTAACATAATGTTTCATTTTTCAGTGGTGTTTTGAATTATTATTGGGAGCCTGTTTGTATCAGAGAAAAGAATGAGAAGAGACATTTATCAAGAATTTAAAGGAGCTACTCTATAGTAAAAGATGATTGGGTACATCTTCAATAGAATTCTTTAACTCTATTGTGGCAAATTGAGAAATAGGTTGAAATAATGGCGTAAAACCAAAAAAATCAAGGTTGGCTCTGCTCTTTGGAGTACCAGGTACCACATACACCACAAGGCCCTGCCTAACTCAGAAGATCATCTCCATTAGTCCAACACAGAGACCTAAATGATTGTTGTGTCTTCAGAAATACCTCATGAAAAAGTGTTCAAATTACTTTGGTGATGAGATCAATTAGCATTTGTCGTGAAATCATTTACCAGATTAGCTAGTCACTACCTAGGTTAGAACCCTGAGAAAATAAAGCACAGGCAGTTTAGTTTTGTTGAGAGTAAGGGGGATTGTGGGAAGTTCCTAGCATGAAGTATTTATAAGGAAGAAGGAAGGAGGAGCTGAAAAAGGAGGTGGGAGACAGGGAAAAGGAAGCAGGAGCATCCTGGAGTCTTAGAGGATCAACTGGCTGTAAACTTTTGAAAGACAGGAAATATGGTGGGTTCACCATTGTATGCAGGTTAAATATCACAGCACCTGGGACATAGCAGGTGCACAAAAAAATATTTATTGAACAGATGAAAGAACGTATGTTCTAAAATGAGGGCTGGTATCGATTCTGAAAGGGGCGGAAGGAGAGCATTCCAAAGTAAATTTATGTAACAAAGTTTTCCTGGCCCTGGCCCTGCTGAAGCTTGTAGAGCCATGGGTATGAATATAAGAGGCTGTGGAATTTCCTTCTGTAAGATCTTTAAAAATGGTATAGATTCTTACATATCTG
Organism: Homo sapiens; assembly: GCF_000001405.40. Lineage (NCBI taxonomy): Eukaryota > Metazoa > Chordata > Mammalia > Primates > Hominidae > Homo > Homo sapiens. The sequence continues at coordinate 78,951,783 of NC_000004.12, forward strand.
GAGGGGTTCCTATGAAAACCAGGAGAATGATCTGAATAATCTGAATAGCCTCTGGTTCTTTCTTCCTTGGGCTTTTGATTTGTTTTTGTTTTTCAATTTCAAGAGATGCAATGCAAAATTATATATTGCCATAATTACTACCATGCAAATAACAATAATAATTTATTGAGTTTACTGTATGCCAGACAACTTGCTGAGTGTGGAATCTCCACTAATGAATTGTCTCATTTTTATTAACTCTGAGGATTTTGTCAGTTATTATACAGTCCTCCTGCAGATGGCACTCTTCTCCTGCAGAATTGTCACCTCTTGCGCTCTGGACTTGAGCCTTACACTGAGATAGGGATGAGAAATGAGTGATTTTAAGGTTGGTACACTATGATTAAAAAAAAAATTATCTATATATGATTTGAAATTCCTAAATATGAATAATCCAGCCCATTAGAAATTTAAAGAGTTTTTAAAATACGAAACTTAAGTTCACAAAATTTTTCAATGGCTTTGCAGCTTTGTCTTTATCTTTATCATAACGGAACATAATTTGCTGTTCTATTTTCCTCAGGAAAACTAAACAAAGAATGTTTTTTGACAGGCAAGCTTCAGCTCAGAAGATGGATAAATAGCTCTTCCCCTCCCCTATGCTTCACTTTGAACTTCCCTCTCTACCTAATCTCTGGCTCATCTTTCCTCTTTTGGAGGGCCCAGGGTGATTGAGCCTGTCGAGATGAATAGCTGGTGAAATCTGACTGGTTCCTGGGTGGGCCACTGTTCATCAGGCTCACCTGGTCCAGCTGGGACTCAGCTTTTCCTTCCACAGTGTGGCCACAGCTAGCGCTGAGTACAGGCCTTCGGAAACCTGCAGGTATAGATGGGTAAAGCAGAATTAACAACATGCCCAGAAATAGCAATTTCGTTATTACTATTCCACGGTATTTACAAAGACACTGTTTTGTGCTTGCATAGCTTTCTTTATGCTTCTGGGCAAATGTGTAAAACATTTTTAGCTCTTATGTGGCTCCGGCAAGTCAATATGTCACCTCCAGTGATAGCATCTAGTTGTCTGGCACACATGTGAAACATTTAGAATTATATAGCTCAGAGCTCTGGAATTGGTATTACCTATTTTATCAGATGCCTGTGTATAGCGCTATAAGGCACTGCTTCTTAGAGTATGATCTATTGATCATCTGCTTGTGAATCACTAGGATGTATGTTAAGAACAACAAAAATAAAACAAAATCTTAGACCTGCCTTTCTTCCCAGCTGCATAACCAGACTATGAAGGATTTAAAAGAAACTGTCATTCTTGCCCTCACTAAAGCTTCAGAACCATGAGAAAACAGTGCTTTCAGGAGCTAGCAGTTCCCTGAGCACAAATTAAAAGTCTGATTTTAGTACTGGCCTCCAACTACTATCCTTTTCCACTTGGGGATATCGTTAGTGATCTCCCACTCTTTTTATTCTCAATTAATTAAAGCTTATCCCCAGAGTCTTTATTCAGTAAAGATGATCTGAGAATCCCCCTAAGTTTAGTGCTTTTTAATAAGGTCTCCACTGCTTGCTTAAGGGAACTCTAAATTCCAGCACGCTTCTTTCTTCTGGATTAAGGGCTGGCGCAGTCAGGATCTCTTGTGTAACTTTGTCCTCCTCCTACCCACATCTGTCTGGTCTCTTCTGGCCACCCTCTTTTCCTTCGTACTAGCAAGCAATGATTGTTTAAGATCTGATCCAGTGTCCTTCCTCAGAGGAGAATTCCTCGAATCCTCCTGGAAGAGGTGGTTGAACAGTCAGAGCAGTTACTGCACTGCTCCGTAACTTGTTTCCTATCATCTTGGAAGTAGTTCCCATCTTATTTGAATCCCTGGTATTAAGCCTAGGGCCTTGTAAATAGTAAATGCTCAGTAGATGTGTATTGACTCACTCAAAGATTAAAAAAAACACCTTTCACTTCTGTTCTTGTATAAAATTATAAACCAAATGTTAATAAGTGAGCTCCTTGAGCATACACCCATGGCTTTTTCGTCTGTTAACATGAACAAATGAACTTGTGAAAGAAAATGTTCTTTTCCATATACAAACAAAATGTTATTTCCATATACAAACTTGAGACACCGTGGACACTAAGGATAGGGGCCATATTTCATTCATGTTCATACCTCCAGCTCTTAGCACAGTATGTAGCACGTAATAGCACTTGCTAAATGTTTGCTGAAATAAAATTCAAGAAGCTACCCACGAATCACTCTATGTTACCTCAGGCAGTACAGGAGAAAAGGCAGCCTCACTTTTACATATGTGCCTGGAACGTTCTCACAAGCAGAGAGTTAGTTAGAGGGCTTGTCCTAGGTGCTGCAGCTATTTAGAGGTGGATGCCAGACTAGAAATCGGGGCCGTTCAGGTTTAGAGGAGTCATGCCTCAGCAGGAACAGGTGGAAAAACAATCTTTTTGAGCAGGCTGTAACGCAACATATCGTTGGTAGGGGGCAATGCTGGCACACAATATACATGAAAGAGGCCGACTTTCAGAAGAGGAGACTTGGGAAAGTTTAGGGTATCCTTTGGAATCAATGGATGGAACCATGACCAGTGTAACAGCAACCACAACCAGCACCAGAGCCAGAACTAGCACCACAACCACCACCAATATTAATGGCCATTTATTTCATGATTGGTGAATGGCAGCACTGATTTTTTAGAACCGAAGTCTTCTGATTTTTAGTTTGATATGGTTTTTGTTACACTGTGCTATTTTTTTAATAGAGTTTTTTGTTTGTTTGTTAAAAAGTTATATATTTTCCTTATAAGAATGGTATATTATCCTTACAAAAAATTAAACTTAGAGACATGGATGTTTAAGAAGGTTAAACATTCTCCTTGTTCCAGCCCCTTCCCATATACAAATAATGTTTTTAAAAATCGTTTTTCCTATGCATAAACTAATATCTACTCCTTTCGTAGAAATTAAAACATAGATACGGCTTAATGCTTTAGGCAGAGTGGACTTAGACTTGCTCAATTAACTAACTGGACTAATATATTACCTAATTTTATGTGTGGCTTTTTTGGACTATCGTATGTGGGTTCATTTAAATGTTGGTCCTACAGCTCCTAACAATTATTTTTCTCCTATTTTTTCAAGATTAGTGTTATTGTGATGTTAGCCCTTTTAATTTGTAACACATGGTGGGATTCAAACCACTGAGTCTTAGCATCTGTCAATGACAAGATCATTCTTTTTAGTAATAGAAGGATGGTTGCTAATAATGTGGCAGAATTTGGCTTTTCATTGTTATGTTATTAATGACTACACAGGAGAAATTATGGGAAATATATTTTTTCTACTTAAGCTTCAGCCAGTTTTCTGAAGTCTCTTTTAAGTTTCCACATCAAATTAAACCTAAGGAGATCTTGGATTTTCCAAAGTAAAACTTTTCCGTATCTCCAAAGTTGGTATTTCAAGTTATTTATGTAGGACTAGCTAACGTTATCTTCTACTCCTTGAGATGTTGAGGTTGTCTGTTGCAATTATAATGATGGGAAAGGGTAGTCTGGGTTAAGCAGAAAATGGTACCTAGTAGATTTTATCTCAGGAGTACCCTGGCCAAAAGGCAGTCACTTGTTATCTTGGATACTGTCCTTGATGCTGCTGATTTAAGGGTCTGGTTCGTTTTTTTTTTGGAACTCTTTCTCTTACTCTACTTAGAACTATTTATTTTTTATTTCACTTCTTTTAACTATCATTTTTGTGTCATTTTTTCCTGGTGTATATTATGTCTCTCTATATTTACTGTATCAAAATATTAGCATTGTTATATATATTATCTATACATGCAGTATATTATTATGATAGTACTTATTTGTAATTTATAAACAAGTAAATATACATTTGTGGTACTGGGTATATATGCCCAATTTTTTTAGCTGATGATGGTGTACAATAAAACATATTTGAGTCTACTGTTCAATATTATGTATTTCTTGAGGACACAGATTATTTCTTTTCTTCTTGATAGCCTTAATTGCTTAGGGCAATGTCTGGTCTATATTAGGTAGTTAATAAGTATTATTGGCTGGCTGGTTGGCTGGATAGATGGATAAATGAATAGATCATTTAATTATGCTTCTCTTTATGAATAGGAGGTAATTTTAACTTACTATTTACTAAATACTTAAATGTACTAAGGACACAGCTGGGCAATCAAACAACTAGACTAGTAACTCCTCTAGATGTTATGTTTGGATGTATTAGAAACTGATTCAATTTGCCACATTTTTCAACAATACACTGGATTGATTGATTAACACAAAATAAATAGTGAATATGATTGAGAAATTTTATGTAATTCTGCTTCAAAGGATTCATCTGTGCTAAATATTATCAGAATCACATTTAGGGTTTAGCAAGTAACCTGATCTCCACAAACCTCAAAGTTCGAATTTCTTTGTATTTCTTCTCTCTTTGGTGAAAATGTCATGTGATTAGAATAATACAATGACATGATTAGGGATGAAGTAAAGGGAGAAGAAAAATTCTAAAAAAGATTTGTGGGCCTGTATTCAATGGACATTAGTCTCCTATTCTCCAGCTCATTAGGGTGACAGAGATGGGACTGACTGCGAGGGAGCACTATGGCTTGGCAGTGACCACTTGGCAAATGGTCACTGCCAAGCTATAGTGCCCCCATACAGTCTCTCAGATCACGTCTCCTTTGTCTGATTTGTCCCTACCTCACTGTCAATCTTGATATCCATTTTCACCACTGTGCAAAACCACTGTACAGTGCATTGTAAGCACTTACAATATATTGTTGACCTACTACATGCAGGACAGTTTTCCAGGTGGCCTTGGACCTACCCAGTTCTCCCTCCTTTTTTGTGTGTAGTTCTCAAGAGAAACTGTAGAATGTTCTGGGAATGCAACATCCTGAGATAAGGAGGGGCTGACCTGAACAGTCCATTGTGCCAGTCCCCTCTATAAACAGAAAGTCACTTTGGCCCAGTATGTCATACTGTCCCTACAGTATAAAACCCAAGGCAGGCTACCTGTTGGGGGTCCCTCGGCTGTGGTGCAAGTGGGGCACATACTGATGAGATTTTGTCTTCCCCAGGCAGCTTTCCTGAGCCTTGAGGGGACAGGCTCGTCATGAATCCTAGGCATTTTTTTTTTCTCTTGCTGCTTATCTGTAAGTAATAAATCCACTTATGTAACTTGTTGTATGTGTGGGTGTTCTGTCTCACTGGACTCAGACAAATGGTAGCCAGTGCACAGTGAACCTGCTTCACACACATTCCCGTGATCTAATTTGTGCCTGTGTATATGTAAATGCATGTCTTTGACGGTGGAGGTAGTAGTCATGGTGCTGGCAGGGCAGTGTGGGAAGGACAGTGTGACACTACAGGCTTCACTCTGCTCCTTACCAAGGGGTGGCTTGTTTAGTCAGTTCTGCTCGCCACCACTCAGCCTGCCTGTCAGTGGGGGAATGACAGTTTTGTCTTCTTTCGTTTTAACTTCTTTATGATAGTCCTCCCTTCTGCAAATAGATAAATAGATTTTTTAAAAAGACACGTTGACTGCTATAATAAGCCCTATGCTTTTTTTCCATCAGAATTTCCCACATCAGCTTGGGGTGTTGCTGATGTTTTCTTATTTTACATGAGTTTTTTTTTTTTTTTTTTTTTTTGAGTCTCACTCTGTCGCCCAGGCTGTAGTACAGTGGTGTGATCTCAGCTCACTTCAACCTCTACCTCCCAGGTTCAAGTAATTCTCCTGCCTTAGCCTCCTGAGTAGCTGGGATTACAGGCACCCGCCACCATGCCTGGCTTATTTATTTATTTATTTATTTATTTATTTATTTATTTATTTATTTTGTATTTCTAGTAGAGACAGGGTTTCACCATGTTGGCCAGGCTGGTCTCGAACTCCTGACCTCAGGTGATCCACCTGCCTCCGCCTCCCAAAGTGTTGGGATTACAGGTGTGAGCCACTGTGCCTGGCTTTAGATGACTATTTTACTGCTATGGATTAAAATAGAAGGAAATGTGAATTGCTGTCAATGTGGGCATATTTGGGGGTTCACTTATGAGTTATATGACTTTTTATTTTTTGTTGATGAGACTATTTTCTTTCTCTTGACCTCTCCTCTTTTGCCTTTCTCAAAATAGTCACATACTAAACATGAATGCTCTTCCTTAGTATTAGTACCATGATATACCTGACCAGTTTTGCAAGAGAAGAAAAGCTCATGATGCAGAACAGTTTCTCATAGCAAGTGAGGTGGAAGTTCTTCGTACTATCTTCTTTTTATTTGAACAGTTATTTTTTTCAAAAAAGGGTTTAAGTACTAATTATATGTGTCAGTGATTTTCCTTTATAGTGGATGGTTTAACATGTTATGGCATAGCTGAAAGAAGAATCTAAATCTTTCTCAGAATCATAGTAGAGGAATGGTTTATTATTGAAGATCTAGAATATACTATTTTTAGCAATTGCTGGTATGGTAACACTTTTCCTTATTGCCTACGATTGGTACAAACTTTAAATTACAAACTCAGGCAGGCAAAAGATATAACTATTTTTCTAAAGCTTGTTTAAGTTCTGTTACAGCTTGAACTGTGTTCAATATCTGCCTCTCCCCATCCCCCTACCCCTGACAAATTGATGTCCACCTAGAATCTGTGACTGTGACCTTATCTGAAAATGGAGACTTTGTGGAGGTAATCAAGTTAAGGTGAGGTCAAACTGGGTGAGGGTGTGCCCTAATAAGAACAGGGAATTTGGACATAGACACACAGGGGAGACAACCATGAGAGGATGGAGGCCGAGATTGGAGAGATTCATCTACAAGTCAAGGAATACAAAGGAATTCTGACAACCACCAGAAACTAGAAGAGGCAAGGAAAGTTTTTTTTTTTTCCCCAGAGACTTCAGAGGGAGCATGGCCCTGCCGACAACTTCAGACTTCCCGTCTCCAGAACTGTGAGAGGATAAGTTTCTGTTGCTTGAAGCTACCCAGTTTGTGGTAATTTGTGTGGCAGCCCTGGGAAACTAATACAGAGTCCCTTTTTAAATTAGAGTGGCAGACAGTTAATCTTACTTGATTTGGAGAATGCTTTCTGTTTCTCTAGAGTTGTATTAAGTAGCAGTAAGATGTGATGTTGGGGCAGAGCCCACAAATTCTTAACATCGCTAAGCTATCCTGGTGTCCCTGAGCATCCTTCACTTGATTCACCATCAGTGCTCTTCCCTGGATGCTGCAGAGATGGCCTTTGCTCCCATTGACATGGCCCCTTCTGGTCTGCCATTTTCTCCACTATTGCCAGATCGCTCTTGAGTGATCAGGAATTATTCCACTGCTCCCATGTCATACTGTGGTTTATATAGATAGATTCTGCAACTATCTCTTGTCTGGGATATTGACATCTCCCAGTCCCAGCACTTTACTAGGACAATGGATTGCAAGTTGTCTCTGCCTTTGAACCCCACAAACCTGTCTGGGGGTGTTGCCACCTCTTCAGGACTTGATCCAAAGAATGGCTCTGGGTTTGTTGTTGATGCATGTTCTCCTTACTTCCTCTCTGACTCTGTTCCCATCACTCTGGCTGAAGAATGTTTTTCTAGCCTTGTTTTGAAGGTAGGGTGGGGGAGTGGCAAATTCTTGCCTACTCATAATGTTTTCTCTAAGATCTTTTGTCTGTGTCTTGATTCTTTTCTCTTCCCTTAGCATCCTAAATCAACAGTTCTCAACTGGAACTCATTTAGCAATGTCTAGACATTTTTGGTTGTCACATCTAGAGAGCTGAGGGGTTTTATTGACATCTAGTGGGTTGTGGCCAAGGATGCTGCTAAATATCCACAGTGCACAGGACAGGCCCTTATAACAAATAATTGTTTGCTCAAAATGTCATTAGTTCCACTGTTGAGAAACAAGCCTAGATCCTTGAAACAAAAAGAGTCTGAAAGATATGTCTTTTTCACTTTGCTTTCTGCCATCATAAATTCCTTTTTTTTGTGGCAATGAACACAGAATATTCTGCTTTGCAATGGGGAGAGTTAATGGCGAATAGAAATTCACCTTATATCAGAATTGTTCTGATTCTTCTAGGAAAGGATATTTAAAAATCCTTTCAACTTCCTCTGTCACGTAAATACATTCTTTATATTAAAATATAAAACAGAGCATTAGCAGTTACGGGGACTTCTGAATTGGCTAGAAAGCCAAATCATCTAATTTGGCAGGGGACAAAAATCCACTCTAGAGTTTAAACCATTTTGGTTGACTATCTAGAGAGCTCATATGACTTAAGCAAGTGCATGATTTAGCGAATTCATGCCAGGCTTGAGAAGAATGTGTAAATGTGGGTTGCAGTCTTGCTTCTCTTACCAGCTGCTTGAGTAGGCAACTTCATTTATCTGGGCCTCATTTTTCTCTTGTGATACAGGTTTACTCTAGATTATTTCTGAAATTAAAAATTGTCATTGAATTTTTTCCTAGGATAGGACCAGATTCTGAGCAGAAATAATTTTTCATATACAGACTCAAAATGTACTATATAAAATCATCTTTTTTCATGACATTCCTTAGAAATTCTTTGTTGGATTGCAGTTGTCCAACAAAAGTTGTTCTCTTTGTTTTCCATGTGCCCTTATTCAGGGCAAAGACTAAGCTGCACAGTAAGGAGACCCATCAACACAGTGACAAAAAACAAACAGACAAAAAAAATGAGGCTACACCACATTTCTCAGACTCCCTTGCATCAGGCGTGATTAAGTTTTCACCAATTGAATGTGAGGAGAAGTGAGGTGTCTAAACCCTGATCCCAGTCCTGAAGGCAGTGGAAGTGCCTCTTTCATGTGTTCCCTTTTCCTCCAGCTGAACTCCGGGCTTCAACTGTGCAGGTAACAGTGATGCCCAAGGGGGTGGAACAAGATGAAAGGAGTCTGAAACCCTAATGACAAAATGGAGCAGAGCCACCCCACCAAATTGGATTGCTTTCCTCAGAGCTGTTTGAGAAGAGATACAAACTTTTGTTTTTAAAGTATGGTTCAGTGTCTTTATTTTAGCTGGTTAGCCTTGGCCCTAATAAATCAAGGAATTCTTCATGTAATTGTTAAAACAACAAACTTAAAAAAATGCATTTTTGTTATACTCAGTGTGAGGCCTGATGTTTCCCTGCCTCACTGTCATTCTTGATATCCATTTTCACCACTGTGCAAAAACCACTGTGCAGTGCATTGTAAGCACTTAAAAAATATTTGTTGACCTACCACATGCAGGACAGTTCTCCAGGTGGCCTTGTATCCACCCAGTTCCCCCTCCTTTTTCGTCTGTAGTTCTCAAGAGAGACTGTAGAATGTGCTGGGAATGCAACATCCTGAGATAAGGAGGGACTGACCTGAAAGGCCCAGGCTTTGTGCCAGTCGCTTCTATGTTGTCTTCTAATATCTCATTACTAAAATAGAAGTGATTTTTTTTTTAAGAGACAGGGTCTTGCTCTGTTGCCCAGGCTGGAGTGTAGTGGTGCAATCACCACACGTGGCTAATGTTTTAATTTTTAATTTTTTTACCTGTTGCCCAGGCTAGTTTCAAACTCCTGGCCTCAAGCAGTCCTCCTGCCTCAGCCTCCCTAAGCACTGGGATTACAAGCACGAGTCACTGTGCCTGGCCATAAGTGAAATATTTAAAGTAAGAAGAGGATGTGAACAAGTTTTGGTCCATCTTGTTCACAATCTCTTCTTTTCTCTGTACTATTTTCTCTTGTAATTTCTGTACTAAATAACAATCCTCATAATCTACTCCAAGCTGGCATTTGTTGTCTTCAGGGATGACCTATGCTCCCAGGATGATGAGTTTCTATAATCTAAATGCAATGGCTCACATTTTAGACTTAAAGTATTATATTTCACACTGTGTTGTTCCTCTTATAGGTCTTTCTATTTCATTGCTTTTCTGGAATGTAGGGGTATATGGCTCTCTTCCCATGTGTCTAGGCACAATTGTCTATTGTGGTCACTTGAAAAGAATACTTGGGAAACTCTTCCCTTTAGGGTGCAGGAGGTAGAAGCAGTGGTAGAAGTGGATGGTGGTTAGATCGTCTTGGTTTTTACTGAGAAGGAAGCCATTTCTTGCCAGAGTTCTGCTCAAAAATCACTGCTTGCTTTCTAGCAAGTGTTCTCTCTGTTGTTACAGCCACTCATCTGTAAGTTATTGTAGTAGTGGTTATTAAGTATCATTTCAGATATCAACCAAATTCTGACTGTGAACTATTTTTGTGTTAAATGAAATATCATTTGTTTTAACTATGCAAATAGAAACTATTTCTTTACAATAAGTATTAACTTATCAGATCATGAATAAGAGAAAGACTGTAAATTGAATACCCGATTTTATGTATGTTTAAACGTGGACAAATAGGTTAATCATTCTCCTGTTAATTTTTTTTCTCTCTTAAAAGGCAAAGGTGATTAGCTGATCTGTGATCTGAAGGGAAATGACTTTGATCATCTTATCAACCTTTCCATTTAGCTTTCTTTAAATGGACCCATCTTATATAGTTGGCTTGGTACTATTTCCAATATACTTGCTATTTGAAATCAAAATTCTTCCCGGGTGACTAAGGAAATTTGGGTTAAAATGTTAGTTCAATGACTTTTTTCTCAATGACCTGGTGAAATAACTTTACCTCAAAATTTTAAATTGGTCTTTAGGAAAGAAAACTTGTTTGCACATTTTAATCTTGATATTAGTTCATGCAGGCCTATATATTTTTCGAGGGGCAAAAATCCAAACTTTAAATCCATAACCCAAGTTTAAATCCATACTTGCTTGCTGTGACTTCACTTGGATTTGAATAGGAGGCCCACCTTTCTTCTGATGTTTTAAGTAGGCAGTTGTAGATGGTTTCCCGGGAAGAAAATCCCCAACAGGGAACTTTTTGAAGAGTTGTTGCATTTGCTCTGTATGCTCTCTGTGTTTTGATACACTGAGCAAGGAATGTTGATGAGACATGAGGCAGAACAGCTTGTTCCTCCACAGCTATTTTGACTTTGCAATGCTGGCAGTAGTAAAAAAAAAAGAAAAAAAAAGAAAAAAAAATAGAAAAAAAAGTTTAGTGTGTTAACTAAGCAAACACATGGGGCTTGGAAGAAGGCTAGGGAACAGCTAGGCTATTCTTGGTATCCAAAACCCTATTGCTTAGGAACTTTTAATTCCAGTTTATGAATGTATAGTACTTGGAGTTCTACATTTCTCTAGATGTCCTTTGTCTCTGGGAGTGTTAACGGGAACAAATGGTGTTGCTAATGAAGTAAAATTGTTTTTGTGTTCAATAATTAGATTTTAGTACAAGGAAGATGACTTAGAAGAATAGACACCTCAAAGGATTCAGAATGTGACTGTGAAAACCAAATTAATTAAGAGAAATACTCATACTACTTTAGGTATTGATGAGTATGGATTATCCTGAAAAAATGAAAATATCAAAGATGGAAGTTTGTTATATTAGGGGCACTGCAAGGCATTTTAGAAGAATGTGGATTATAAACTTGAGTTTTGTGAGTTGTTGTTGCTGTTTTTCACAGAAGTGCCAGCATGCCAGCTTTGAGCCAATGCTTTAGGAGGCATGGAAAGTTTCCATTGGCCTCTCTTATGCTCCTACCATCTGCCATGAGAAGGACACACCATAGTTAGCAACAGCTCCTTTTGCCTGGGTCCCAGGATCAGAGAGATACAGGAAACCAACCTGAATTTGAGCCAAGCTGAGCCTAATTGAGCCCGGCTAATCCACTGCTGACCGGCGGACCTCTGAGGGAGAAGTGGAAGTGAATACTTTTTTTGTTTTAAGCCATGGAGATTTGGCAGTTGTTTGTTATGCAGCAAAACCTGACTAATACACCTTTATTAGCGGTCTCTAATTACAGGTTGTTGACATGTGAGGACCAGAGTATATATGACCCAGATCTTAGGTCCTGCTTTAGATTCCCTTGGCAGGCTTGTTTCTCAGCCCATGCTGTCAGTGGTTTGACAGTGATACTTGCTGTCACTGGGCAGTAGCTACAGGGCAGTCAGGTTTACTGGCTACAATTCAGAATTTCTTACTCCTCCCATCACTTTTTTAGACTTTTGAAATTTTAATTCCAGTTTATGAATGCATAGTTGAAATTCACTCTGATGAAATTGCACAGTACTTGGTGTGGTGACTGACATCTTAAGTGGCCACCAGAAGAGCTAGATGACACAACTCAGAAGTGTGATGGTATTAATTCCCATGGAGCAATATTTGACTAATGGGAAACTGAAGATGGGAGGAAGAAAGCAAATACCTCTCTCCCCTTCTTACTCCTTCCCATGCACTATTCCAATTACAGATACACAAAGCTCATTTGAAGTCCTGTATGGCCAAGCAGGTGCTTTTACTGAGTGATTCACTATGCCTATTTATGGCTCATTGGGAAGCAGTGACCAGCAGGGTAATAGCATTTTACATGGCTTTCCATCCTTCTTTGCTACATCTCCCTTTCCCCCCCTGGTTCGTACAACCCAAAGAAAGCATCAACACTTAATTCTTGATTCAGGCTCTGTTTTCTAGAGAACCTAAGCTAAGGCCTTGAACTAGACCATCATGTCAAGGTGAAGATGATGAAACTGATGGTTAGGATTATGTCAACTAATACTTACTGATGACCACTGACTATGTATCAAGCAATGTATTGAGTGTTTTGAATTCATTTTATTTAATATTCATTACAACTCATGAACTGTGTAGTATTATTAGCTCATTATATAGATGTTTGAAAATTTGCCAGGATCACATAGGAAGTAAGTGGAGCCAGGATAGAAACCCAGATATTTCTGATATCATATCTTATCAGTTAAACCACTAAGTAACACAAATAAATTGCGGAATAGGTCACTGGGTGCCCAGTTTCAATGTGTGCCTGATACAGTGTACTTCACATAGCGTACATTCAATATGGAGTTTTGATTTAATAAATATTTTATTAGTTTTCTATTAATAATAGTCTGGTAATGTTGGGTGCAGTGGCTCAGGCCTATAATCGCAGCACTTTGGGAAGCAAAGGTGGGAGGATTGCTTGAGTCCAGGAGATCAAGACCAGCCTGGCCAACATAGACAGACCCTGTCTCTACAAAAAAAAATTTTTTAAATAACATTTTGGTAAACCTAGAGTTATGCTACTTAGGACTCATGGTTTGTCAATTAAAAAAATTAGAGTAAAAAAGCCATCTTTAACCATAAAACCTAAGTTAGAAGACTATTTAGAATTTTTGGGGGCTAGAGAGATACCATAAAATTATCTTTGTATATTGTTTGAAAATAGTTGATTTGAACCTGATGGATTTAGGATAAAGGCATATCTATTACAGTAGGAATGGTTTTTTGTTTTTGTTTTGTTTTGTTTTTAAAAAACCATCCTTGTTGCTTTATGGAGGCAGATGATTATGTAGAAAAGCAGTGAACTAAGAATAAGTGGACCTCAATTCAGCCCTTGAGTTTTTCATGAACAAGTTTATGATTTTGTGAAAGTCAGTCTGGGCTTGGGATTCAGATACAACATCTGTAAAATGCAAAATTGGTTGAAGAATATTTCCAGCTCTGACTAACATCTGTGATTTTCCTGAAGTTACTAGGACTTTCTATACAGATGGTATCTGAAGAGACAGTTGCAGCTACACTTTTGATGATAAGTTATGCTGTTTCCCTCTTCTAAGACTTCCCTTTATCTGTTACTTAGTTTGGCAGATTACATGTTCTTTAAGATTCATTTCAAATACCTTTTTTTTTGGTTTTTAAATTTGTGAACCTCCCTTGACATTCTTAGGCAATTTCCTACTTTTTACCCATAGGATAGCTTTATATACCGATGCTGTAATTTTTACTCCATCATTTTGTGATTATTTGTATATATGTTTCTCACTATACTATGGACATTTAAAAAACCACAACTAAGTATTTATTATACTTTAAGAAGGGAATCAATTGTGGTAGTGTTATAGAAGCTATATATATTTTTCCTAATGCCTTATGTGTTCATAGACTCTAAGTACAAACACTTTAATCATCAAATTCCACTTTTTGCCTCTAAAAATATACTAGCTCATGTGCACGAAGAGACTTGTGTAAGTTTCTTTATTGTAGCAGTGTTCGAATTATTTTACTAACTGGGACTACAGGCACATGCCACCATGCCTGGCTGGGTTTTTTTGTTTTGATTTTTTTTTTTTTTTTTTTTTGGTAGAGATGGGATTTCACCATCTTACCCAGGCTGGTCTTGAACTCCTGGGTTCAACTGATCTACCCACCTTGGCCTCCCAAAGTGCTGGAATTACAGGTGTGAGCCACTATGCATGGCCTGTTTTCATTTTAATAGCCCCAATGACATATAATTGACTGTATTACTTTACTACGACTGCTATAACAAAATACCACAGACTGAGTGGCTTAAACATACAGAAATGTATTTATTCACATTTCTGGAAGCTAAAATTCAGTTGAAGGTATCAGCAGGATTGAGTTCTTCTGAGGCCTCTCTCCTGGGCTTGCAGATGGTCACTTTCTTGCTATGTCCCTACATGGTCATCCTGTGGTCTGTGTCTTAATCTTCTCTTCTCTTCCAAAACAACAACAACAACAAAATTCCAGTTTTATTGGATAAGGGCCCACCAGTATGACCTTATTTTACCTCAGTTCTCTCTTGAAAGGTCTTATCTCGAAATATAGTAACAATCTGATGTAACGGTGGGTAAGACTTCAACATATGAATTTTGGAGGATACAATTAAGTTCATAACATTGACCTACCATAAAATGCACATAAAGGGTACAGTGTGATGTTCTGAGATATACATACATCTACAAAACTATCACAGTCAAGATAATGAATATGTCCATTGTCCTTTCATATTTTCCATGGCCTCTTTGTCATCCCTTCCTTTAGCCTTTCCCTACCTTCCTCAATTCCTATGCAATCATTAATCTGCTTTTGATCACTGTATATTAGTTTGTATTTTCTAGAATGTAATACACATGGAATCATATAGATTATACTCATTTTGTTATTCAGCCTAATTATTTTGAGGCTCAGCTATAATGTAGCACATACCAATAACTTACTCATTTTTGTTGCTGAGTAATATTCCATTGTATGGGTGTGCCATAGTTTCTTTATCCATTCATCTGTTTATGCACATTTGGGTTCTTTCTAGTTTGGGCCATTAAAAATAAAGCTGCTATGTACATTTGTGTACAGGTCTTATGTGGACATATTCTTTTATTTCTCTTGGGTAAATACCCAATAGTAAAATGGCTGGATTTTGTGGTAACCTTAAAAAAAAGTCTACTGTTTTTCAAAGTAGTTGTAGTATTTTATGATTTAATTTAATTTACAAATCTATATCTTAAATGACAAATAAAAATTGCATACATTTATGGTATACAATGTGATGTTTTGATATATGTATAGATTGTGGAATTATTACATCAAGCTTGTTAACATATCTATCACCTCACATGCTTATTTTTTTGTGGTAAGAACAGTTAAAATCTCTTTCCGCAATTTCAAGTTTAGATTATTATTAACTGTAGTCTCCATGTTGTGTAATCATTCTCCAAAATTTATTTCTCCTGTCTAACTGAAACTTTTTACTCTTTGACCAACATCTCCACATTGTCCCCACATTCACAAGCCCCTGGTAACCATCTTTCAATTCTCTGCTTCTATGAGTTCAACTCTTTTAGATTCCACATAAAAGTAAGATCATACAGTATTTGTCTTTCTGTGCATGGCTTATTACACTCAGCATAATATCCTCCAGATTTATCTATGTTGTCACAAATGATTAGATTTCATTTTTTATGGCTGAATGGCTGAATACTATTCCATTGTGTATATATACTACATTTTATTTATTCCCATTAATAGACACTTAGGTGGATTCCATGTCTTGAAATTGTGAATAATCTGCAATGAACATAGAAGTACAGATATCTCACTGACTTACTGATTTCATTTCCTTTGGATAAATACCCAGAAGTAGGATTGCTGGATCATATGGTTGTTTTATTTTTAATTTGTTGATTAACATCTATGCTGTTTCCTCCAATGACCATGGGTTATACTATTTTATAATTCTGCCATCAAGTGTATGAGAGTTCCAGTTCTCCTATATCTTTACCAATGCTTGGTATGGTCAATTTCTACTTATTTGTTTGTTTATTGATATTTAAAATTTTATCCATTTACCCAGGTATGAAGGGGCATCTCATTGTGGTTCCAATTTCCATTTCCATAATGACTAATGATGTTGAGACTCTTTTCATGTGTTTATTTGCCACTCATTATCTTTTTTGCTGAAGTGTCTGTTCAAATCTTTTGTCCTTTAAAACATTGGGTTATTTCTTTTGAATACAGTGATTCAATTTATTTTGAATCATTATGTATTCTGGATACTAGTTTTTTAAAAAATTATAGAAATCATTTGGAAATATATTCTTCCATCCTGTGGCTTATTTTCTTATTCTATTAGCAGTATCTTTTGAAGAACAGTACATTTAATTTTGATAAGGTCCAATTTGTCAGTTTGTTCTTTCGTAGATTATTTTTGTTATATCTGAAAAATCTGCCTATCATAAGGTCACAAAAGTTATTCTCCTATTTTAAAAAGAAGTTTTGTCATTTTATTTTCAGTTAAGTCAATGATTCATTTTAAGTTAATTTTTGCATGTGGCAAAATAAATAGATATATTAAGGGGCAGATTCAAGTTTCTTTTTTGCATGTGGATATCCAGTTGCTCCAGCATTGTTTTTGAAAAGACTATCCTTTCTTTCTCTATTAGATTTTCTTTGCATCCTTGTGGAAAACATTTGCTCATGTATGTGTGGGGGTGTCTTTCTTTCTTTCTTTCCTTTCTTTCTTTTCTTTTTTTTTTTTTTTTTTTGAGACAGAGTCTCTCCCTGTCACCCAGGCTGGAGTGCAGTGGCACAATCTTGGCTCACTGCAGCCTCCGCCTCCGGGGTTCAAGTGATTCTCCTCCCTCAGCTTCCTGAGTAGCTGAGATTACAGGCATGTGTCACCATGCCTGGCTAATTTTTCTTTTTTTGTATTTTTAGTAAAGATGGGGTTTCACCATTGGCCAGGCTGGTCTTGAACTCCTGACCTCAGATGATCCTCCCACCTCGGCCTCCCAAAGTGCTGGGATTACAGGCATGAGACACCTTGCCTGGCCAGGTCTGTTTCTTCATTGATCTACTGGTGTATGTTACAAGTACTACATTTATTTGATTACTTACAAGAAGTCTTGAATCAAATAGCGTTAACCCCCCAACTTGTTTGTTCTTTTTTAAAGTTGCTATTGTTTCTTGCCACTGAGCTAAAAAATAGTTGCTGTTGACTATTTTAGGTTCTTTGCATTTTCATATGTGTTTTGTCAATTTCTACAAAAGTCCTCCTGGGATTTTGATTGGAATTTGCTGGAATCTGTAGAATAATTTGGGAAGAAATGACATCTTTAAAATATTGAGTAATATTTTATATATTACTGGCTAATTAATATATCTATTTATTTTGTTTTTTCTTTATTTTTTCTCAACAATGTTTTAAGATTTCTGTTTATAGGTTTTCCACATCTTTTATGTACATTATCCCTATTTTATATATTTTTATGTTATCATTAGCGACATTTAAAACATTCAATTTCCAATAACTTGTTGCTAGTATATAGAAATTCAGTTGATTTTATATGCCAATCTTGTATCCCGAAATCTTGCTAAGCTTACTTATTAGTACAAGTAGCTTTGATTCTCGATTCCATCACATTTCTATACAAATGATCATATTGTCTGTGAATAAAGACAGTTTTATTTCTTCTTTTCTGATTTCTGTGCTTATTTATTTTTCTTTTCTTTTTTTATTGTACTAGCTGAAACTTCCAGGACAAAGTTGAATAGAAGTGTTGAGAGTAAAAATTCTTGTCTTGTTCTGGTCTTTTATCTTTCAGTATAATACATTTTCATAGGTGCTTTTTTTTGGTTGAGAAAATTCTCTTCAGTTTCTTTTTCACTGAGTCGTTTTATGAGGAATGGATGTTGGATTTTGCCAAATGGTTTGTTGTGCCTATTTTATGTGCCTATTATGTACATGTTGAATAATTTCTTTTTTCTTTTTTTTTTTTTTTTGAGACGGAGTCTCGTTCTGTCACCCAGGCTGGAGTGCAGTGGCATTATCTAGGCTCACTGCACACTCCACCTCCTGGGTTCATGCCATTCTCCTGCCTCAGCCTCCCGAGTAGCTGGGACTACAGGCGCCTGCCACCAGGCCTGGCTAATTTTTTGTATTTTTAGTAGAGATGGGGTTTCACCATGTTAGCCAGGATGGTCTCGAAATCCTGACCTTGTGATCCGCCTGCCTCAGCCTCCCAAAGTGCTGGGATTACAGGCGTGAGCCACCGCGCCCGGCCCTGAAGAATTTCTTTTAGCATTTCTTGTGTAGGTCTCCTGGAAAAAAAATCTGATTTGGGGAGAAGGGTATGAAAATGTCTTTATTTTTCATTTTTGTAGGATATAGGACTATGCTACAATTTTATGTAGAATCTATTTAGAATCCTATACAGAATTCCAGACTAACATGTTTCACTTTCAGCTCTTTAAAGATGTCATTCCATTGTTTTGGAGTAATTGTTTCTGAAGAGAAATTAGACATAATTTTTATCATTTTTTTCTTCCGTGTAATGTTTCTTTTTTCTCTGACTGCTTTTAAGATTTTTGTATCATCTTTGGCTATCAACAGAGTGAGTATGGTGTGCCTAGTTCTGTTTTTGTGTTTATCCTCTTTTGGGGTTACTATGATTCCTGATGCTGAGGTTTGATATTTTTAATCAATTTTGAGAAATTCTTGGCCATTATGTTTTCAAGGATTTCTTCTGACTCATTTTCTATCTCTCACAGATGCAATTACATATTTACTAGGCTACTTAATATTGTCCTAGAGATCATAGACTCAAGTTTTTCACTCATTCCCCCTTTTATTTATTTATTTATTTTTGGATAATTGACCTGTCCTCAGGTTTACTTCTGCTTTTTGCTGCTGCTAATAGGCTACTGTTGTGTTTTATGGCCTGTTAGACTCCTAATATGTATTCTCTTTTGATGACAGTGTATTTTAAAAACAAATTTTGACATTGCAGTTTGGTTTCTTTTCATACTTTTCATTACTCTGCTGAAATTCTCTATATATTCATGCATGCTCTCTACCTTTTCCACTGAATTATTTGACATATTTATCATAGTTATGCTGAAGTTACTCCCTGATAAATCTAACGTCTGTGCTTTCTAGAGTCTCAGCCTGTTGACTGTTTTCTCATTTGATTATTGCTCACATTTTTTCTCTTTGTGGGTCTCAAAATTTTTTACTCTATGTTGGATATTGTGAGAAAAATAGTAGAGATTGAGAAAATTAATATTTATTTACCCTAAAAAAGTGCATACTTTTTTTGTTAGACCTTTTCTTGGGAAAGTTGAGGAAATCTGTTGTATATTTGAGGTATGTGGGATTATTTCAGCTTTAGTTGGATTAGTTTACCACTGACTTCAAATGTTTTGAAAACAGAATAAGGTCTTTTCTATCACTAGGGCTTGTGATCTGAGCACTGGCAAGATTTCAGAGATCTCTGTGTGCTCCCAGACTGTTTTGGTTGCTAGGGAGTTCTTTTTCCTTTCCTGTTTCTGACTTTATTAATCTCAGGAGGTCTCTCTTCTTTTTGCTCTGCTGCTTCAAGCCTTTGGCATCCAGTGCCTTGTACTTAATGAAAGTTTGCAACACTCTGAGCAACTGTTCTCAGTTCTTCTGCCTTATTTCTGGCCTCCGTTGCAACTGTTTTGACCTAGTGAAGGCCTAGACTTTCTCAGACAGATTTCTTTTAACTCTTCTGCCCTGACTCCAGTCTTCACTGGGATGCTGCCTTGCACTTAGGGAAGGTTCACATGCCTCAAGGATCTCTCTCTCTCAGATTTCTTGACTTTCCCTCAGTCTTCAGTATAGTCCTCCTCTGTGCCTGGTGAAGACCTGTGGTAAAGTGCTGGCAGGTGAGTACAGCTTGATGGTGTGGATGGGTTCCTTGGGACTCCAGCATGTCAAGCTAGTTCACACACAGGTCTTAATAGTTGTCTAAGATTCATGTAGTTCCTCATTTTCTTTTCTGTGGTAGATTCTGTTTCCTGCTGCACCACCAGGGATGAAAAAATTCACTGGTCTCTTCTTTTATAGAACGGGATCATAACTATACAGATTTTAGTTAAGTTAGCTTTATTAGTATTCTCAGCTTTTTTAATGGGATAAAAAGCAATGATATTATGGATTATCTGACTTTTCCTTTAGTATTAGGTTTGCCCAATCATCTCCATGATTTCTAAATTCCAAACTTCTTGAATAAATAAAATTTAAAAGAAAACATTGTACTAAAGTCAAAAGAAGGGTTTTAAGGCATAGTTCTACTTTTTACTGTCCATGTATCCTTGGATAAACTACTTCTCTGAAATTGTATTGCTTGCTTTTTCAGCTTGTTGAGTCTTTCATAAATTTAAGGGTTGGAATATGTCTCTCAGACAGAAATTGATAGAGCTTTGCAAGTCTTCAGATGTATTCAAGTTTGGTAAACACTGGGTTAGGCCATGGATAAAAGATTGGTCTTTGTGTGTTCATAAGAAAACCTGGATAGGAAGCTCTTCTTCTTACAGAAAGCCTCGATTGAGAAGTAAAGCTGGGACTATTAGTCCGTGTTCTGCAGTGAAATAATGGTAGCCATGCATAGATTGATTTAAGATCTATGCATGTTAAGATACCTGTCTTAACACAGGTAATAGTCACATCAGGGAAAAGAGCAACAGGCAGAACTCTTGGCTTTGTGTAAGAGCCCAAGGAAAGGGCCTGAGAGAGTACACACTGTATCAAAGTGTAGTGTTAATGTGAGGTGTCGGGAAAAAGGTCTTGGGTGTGTGTGTGTCTGCATAATATATGTGTGGAAAACTCTCAGTGCTGGTCCTTTGAGATATGTCTGTGAAAACTCTTTCAATTAACAAAAATAACCAACATTAATTGAATACTTTTTATGTGCCAGTCACTGTTCCAAGTTCTCTACAAAAGGTAATTCTTTAGTCCTTATAGTAATACTGTAGTGGTGCTGATACTATTTTTATCTTCATTTTTCAGAGAGGAAGCTAAATCACGTAAAAATTAAGAAACAGCTCAGCGTTTCACAGCTAGTAAGTAACAGAGATGGGCTTGAGACCCAGATTGGCAGGATCCAGGTCTTGTGCTCATGACGACTCTGCTATGGTGCCTCCCTTGAAAGCATCTTAGTGCTTTCATTGTTGTTTTTGTTATTGTTATTCTTACTATTATTTTGTACCCCCTTGGTGGATAGTGGCTGTGAATTTGTAGTTGTTGGTGTGTTTCTTCTGGAGCGTAAGCTCCTTCCTCCTCTATTGTTAGCCAGAGTTTTTGTTACCTTTGAAATAATTGCTAAATCAACAAAACATCTGTTACATTGCTGCTGCTCGAATGGCTATCTTTTAGAATTAGCACTCTTCTTTCTGAATCTGATGCCACAGCCTTTTGAACTTAAGGTATTTGGATGTGTCAGTAAAGGGGCTGTGGTAGCTGTGGTGACAGCAACTCCAATGGTGGTGACCGTAGAGAATGTGGCAGAGCTGTGAATGAGATGAAGAGATTTAGTGATGGCAGAGGAAACTTTGGGATTTCACAACTTTCTTCCTCCAAAAACTATTTGAAAGCAGATATGAGGAGTGGGAAATACAGAAACAATTCCAGCCTTTGTGCACCTTACAGCATAATGAGTGATGCTCACAGCTGATAAATAATAATAGCAAATACCTGTATAGAACTTACTATGTACTGGACACTTTCCCAAATATTTTACATGCGTTATCTCACATGTTCCACTCAATAATCCCAGAAGATGGAACTCTGATCTCTAGTTTGCAGTTGAGGAAACTGAGGCAAAGCAAGGTTAAGGAGCTTGCTCAAGATCCCACAACCAGTAGGTGACAGAACTGATATTTGAACCTAGGAAGATTGGCTTGAGAATCTGACACTTAAACACTATCCTATTCTGCTAACAAATAATGAATCAGTTGGCAACTATGGTAAGAGCTACAGAGACAATGAGAAGATGAGGGGGATTGAGCTGAGTCTGGAGGGTTTGGGAAGACTTGCCTGATGAAGTGATGAGGAGTGATGAAAAAGTCAGCCAGGTGAAGGGGCTTGTGTATATGTACATGTGTGTGCCTGTGTTCCTCTGCCCATGCATGTGGCATGGTCAGGGAGACACATTTTTAGGACTTGTGTAACACATCTCTGTAAATAGCTTCAAAATAAAATATCAATTTGTGATTCTTGTAATGGAAATTTACTTCATACACAACTTTCAGGCACTGTTTTGTAGCATAATTCAAAGTGATGCTGTCTTTGTATACGGCTTTAAGACAGTTTTTGAGCACATATCTCTGCATGTCTGTGTCCTGCTTTGTGGGCAGTAAGAAGCTTGGGAATCCCGGAAAGCTGAATTCACATTCCAGCTTTTTAGCCGTGGTCATTGCTCAGTTATTTGGGGTTGTGTTCTCTGTTTGTTGATTAATAGAAAATGCATTAAAAGTGCATAAAATAGAAAAATTACCCCCAATCAGTGCAAACGTCCACATATCTGAAGGCTTCTGTTGCAGGTGCCTGGTAATCATCAGAACCCCTCTAGTGAGACCACCAGGTTATTTCTGGGCTCCATCCCAGAGTCAATGGTCCCTCAAAAAGGAAGCTTTTGTTTACTGTAAGCAAAACCAAATGGGATTAGGAGGGCCATGGATTCAAGAACTCTAAAGACAGGGTTGAGAAATTAAGTGAGAAGGAGAAGACAGAGGAAGATCTAAGCATTGAGATTACTCCTCTGCCCAACTTAGTTGTGTTCTAACATTTTTAAAAACGAGATTAACTGGGAAGCAAATAGAAATTAGACTATTTATTAGCAAGCCTTTAGCAGTTTCTCATCAAGTGACACATTTGGTGTTTAGTGTTCCTAATGAGTTGCACTAGGGTTATTTTTACACTTTTGGGCATCTGTGGAGTGGTAAATGTGTTCCTAAATATTAGATATAATTACAATAAAATATGTTTATATAAATTTACTTGCTACCAGATTCAGACTAGTTTTGTTTTAATCAGGGTTTAGAATTATACATGACTTTCATCTCTCTTCACCTTTATCATCATTAATCAAGAGCTGACTATATCAGATGTCTGCACTTGAGTGGACACACTGGATCTCTTTGAATTTTGGTTTTCGAATGATTTTAATCCTCTTTTTCTTTTTTTTTATTGTTTATTTTTAACATTGAGATTATTTATTAGTGACTACAAGTGGAAACAGAGCAGAGGTGTGCAACGCTCATCACCCAGATAACTAATTTGCCCTTTAAATTGCATATCTGCCTCTTTTTTTTTTGTTTGTTTCTTTTTTTTTTATTATTATACTTTAAGTTTTAGGGTACATGTGCACAATGTGCAGGTTAGTTACATATGTATACATGTGCCATGCTGGTGCGCTGCACCCACTAACTCATCATCTAGCATTAGGTATATCTCCCAATGCTATCCCTCCCCCTCTCCCCCCACCCCACCACAGTCCCCAGAGTGTGATATTCCCCTTCCTGTGTCCATGTGATCTCATTGTTCAATTCCCACCTATGAGTGAGAATATGTGGTGTTTGGTTTTTTGTTCTTGCGATAGTTTACTGAGAATGATGATTTCCAATTTCATCCATGTCCCTACAAAGGACATGAACTAATCCTCTTTTTCTTTCCTCCCTCCCTTCCTTCCTTCCCTTTTTACTTACTGCCTTCCTTTCTTCCTTCCTGGCAGTGGAGCAGAAGATAAGGAAACCAAGTCTGAGGTTTGCTACTCAGAGGCTGGTGAGCTTGACTTGATCTTTCTCCTCGATAGTTTTATTGCTGGTAAAATGAGACAATTCATTAAATAGATCCCCTAAGAGCCCTGCAAGTCATAAAAAGTCTACATTTTCATTTTACATGAAAATATTTGACAGTACTTTCAGTTAAACAGTTTCAGTTTTTGCCTGTTTAAAAGAAGGTTGTAGGCCTAGCTCTCCACCCCTCTAAACCCGAGAAAGGATTCCCACAAATACAGCTTCACCAAATTTATAGGCTCCCAGCTGAGTTAGCAGAAACCAGGCAGCTGAGTGGATGAGCTTCTATTAGCACAATGGTGTTTGGTTATGCAGCTGAGTGGATGAGCTTCTACTAGCACAATGGTGTTTGGTTATGCAGCTGCAGAACTGGGGAGAAAAGCTTGAGACAATATTTATGAGGTGCGACTGTGACCTGAACTTTACAACTAGTTATCCTGGAGAATGCAGGTAATTCTTTTTTATTTCCTTGGAAAAATAAATAGCTATGTAAGGTAGGCTGAAAAATGGCCCTGCAAAGATGTCCATTCTGAGATGTTCTAATCTCAGAATCTGCAAATATGTTAATCTACGTAACAAAAGGAACTTTGCAGATGTGATAAAGGGTGTGAGATGGGAGGTTATCTTTTATTTTATTTTATTTATTATTATTATTTTTTAATTATACTTTAAGTTTTAGGGTACATGTGCACAACGTGCAGGTTTGTTACATATGTATACATGTGCCATGTTGGTTTGCTGCACCCGGTAACTCGTCATTTAACATTAGGTATATCACCAAATGCCATACCTCCCCACTCCCCCGACCCCACAACAGTCCCCAGAGTGTGATGTTCCCCTTCCTGTGTCCATGTGTTCTCATTGTTCAATTCCTACCTGTGAGTGAGAACATGAGGTGTTTGGTTTTTTGTCCTTGTGATAGTTTGCTGAGAATGATGGTTTCCAGCTTCATCCATGTCCCTACAAAGGACATGAACTCATCCTTTTTTATGGCTGCATAGTATCCATGGTGTATATGTGCCACATTTTCTTAATCCAGTCTATCATTGTTGATCATCTGGCTTGGTTTCAAGTCTTTGCTATTGTGAATAGTGCCGCAATAAACATACGTGTGCATGTGTCTTTATAGCAGCAAGATTTATAATCCTTTGGGTATATACCCAGTAATGGGATGGCTGGGTCAAATGGTATTTCTAGTTCTAGATCCCTGAGGAATCGCCACACTGACTTCCACCATGGTTGAACTAGTTTACAGTCCCACCAACAGTGTAAAAGTGTTCCTGTTTCTCCACATCCTCTCCAGCACCTGTTGTTCCTGACTTTTTAATGATCGCCATTCTAACTGGTGTGATATGGTGTCTCATTGTGGTTTTGATTTGCATTTCTCTGATAGCCAGTGATGATGAGCATTTTTTCCTGTGTCTGTTGGCTGCATAAATGTCTTCTTTTGAGAAGTGTCTGTTCATATCCTTTGCCCACTTTTTGATGGGGTTGTTTTTTTTCTTGTAAATTTGTTTGAGTTCATTGTAGATTCTGGATATTAGCCCTTCATCAGATGAGTAGATTGCAAAAATTTTCTCCCATTCTGTAGGTTGCCTGTTCACTCTGATGGTAGTTTCTTTTGCTGTGCAGAAGCTCTTTAGTTTAATGAGATCCCATTTGTCAATTTTGTCTTTTGTTGCCATTGCTTTTGGTGTTTTAGACATGAAGTCCTTGCCCATGCATATGTCCTGAATGGTACTGCCTAGGTTTTCTTCTAGGGTTTTTATGGTTTTAGGTCTAACGTTTAAGTCTTTAATCCATCTTTAATTAATTTTTGTATAAGGTGTAAGGAAGGGATCCAGTTTCAGCTTTCTACATATGGCTAGCCAGTTTTCCCAGCACCATTTATTAAATAGGGAGTTGTTTCCCCCTTTCTTGTTTTTATCAGGTTTGTCAAAGATCAGATGGTTGTAGATATGTGGCATTATATCTGAGGGCTCTGTTCTCTTCCATTGGTCTACCTCTCTGTTTTGGTACCAGTACCATGCTGTTTTGGTTACTGTAACCTTGTAGTATAGTTTGAAGTCAGGTAGTGTGATGCCTCCAGCTTTGTTCTTTTGGCTTAGGATTGACTTGGCAATGAGGGCTCTTTTTTGGTTCCATATGAACTTTAAAGTATTTTTTTCCAATTCTGTGAAGAAAGTCATTGGTAGCTTGATGGGGATGGCATTGAATCTATAAATTACCTTGGGCACTATGGCCATTTTCACAATATTGATTCTTCCTACCCATGAGCATGGAATGTTCTTCCATTTGTTTGTATCCTCTTTTATTTCATTGAGCAGTGGTTTGTAGTTCTTGAAGAGGTCCTTCACATCCCTTGTAAGTTGGATTCCTAGGTGGTTTATTCTCTTTGAGGCAATGGTGAATGGGAGTTCACTCATGATTTGGCTCTCTGTTTGTCTGTTGTTAGTGTATAAGAATGCTTGTGATTTTTGCACATTGATTTTGTATCCTGAGACTTTGCTGAAGTTGCCTATCAGCTTAAGGAGATTTTGGGCTGAGACAGTGGGGTTTTCTAGATATACAATCATGTCATCTACAAACAGGGACAATTTGACTTCCTCTTTTCCTAATTGAATACCCTTTATTTCCTTCTCCTGCCTGATTGCCCTGGCCAGAACTTCCAACACTATGTTGAATAGGAGTGGTGAGAGAGGGCATCCCTGTCTTGTGCCAGTTTTCAAAAGGAATACTTCCAGTTTTTGCCCATTCAGTATGATATTGGCTGTGGATTTCTCATAGATAGCTCTTATTATTTTGAGATACGTCCTATCAATACCTAATTTATTGAGAGTTTTTAGCATGAAGGGTTGTTGAATTTTGTCAAAGGCCTTTTCTGCATCTGTTGAGATAATCATATGGTTTTTGTCATTGGTTCTGTTTATATGCTGGATTATGTTTATTGATTTGCGTATGTTGAACCAGCCTTGCATCCCAGGGATGAAGCCCACTTGATCATGGTGTATAAGCTTTTTGATGTTCCGCTGGATTCGGTTTGCCAGTATTTTGTTGAGGATTTTTGCCTCAATGTTCTTCAGGGATATTCGTCTAAAATTCTCTTTGTTTGTTGTGTCTCTGCCAGGCTTTGGTATCACGATGATGCTGGCCTCATAAAACGAGTTAGGGAGGATTCCCTCTTTTTCTATTGATTGGAATAGTTTCAGAAGGAATGGTATCAGCTCCTCCTTGTACCTCTGGTAGAATTTGGCTGCATATCCATCTGGTCCTGGACTTTTTTTGGTTGGTAAGCTATTAATGATTGTCTCAATTTCAGCTCCTGTTATTGGTCTATTCAGAGATTCAACTTCTTCCTGGTTTAGTCTTGGGAGGGTGTATGTGTCAAGGAATTTATCCATTTCTTCTAGATTTTCTAGTTTATTTTCATAGAGGTGTTTATAGTATTCTCTGATGGTAGTTTGTATTTCTGTGGGATCAGTGGTGATATCCCCTTTATCATTTTTTATTGCATCTATTTGATTCTTCTCTCTTTTCTTCTTCATTAGTCTTGCTAGCGGTCTATCAATTTTGTTGATCTTTTCAAAAAACCAGCTCCTGGATTCATTGGTTTTTATAAGGGTTTTTTGTGTCTGCATTTCCTTCAGTTCTGCTCTGATCTTAGTTATTTCTTTCCTTCTGCTAGCTTTTAAATGTGTTTGCTCTTGCTTCTCTAGTTGTTTTAATTGTGATGTTAGGGTGTCAATTTTAGATCTTTCCTGCTTTCTCTTGTAGGCATTTAGTGCTATAAATTTCCCTCTACACACTGCTTTGAATGTGTCCCAGAGATTCTGGTATGTTGTGTCTTTGTACTCATTGGTTTCAAAGAACATCTTTATTTCTGCCTTCATTTCATTATGTACCCAGTAGTCATTCAGGAGCAGGTTGTTCAGTTTCCATGTAGTTGAGCAGTTTTGAGTGAGTTTCTTAATCCTGAGTTCTAGTTTGATTGCACTGTGGTCTGAGAGACAGTTTGTTATCATTTCTGTTCTTTTACATTTGCTGAGGAGAGCTTTACTTCCAACTATGTGGTCAATTTTGGAATAAGTGCGGTGTGGTGCTGAGAAGAATGTATATTCTGTTGATTTGGGGTGGAGAGTTCTGTAGATGTCTATTAGGTCTGCTTGGTGCAGAGCTGAGTTCAATTCCTGGGTATCCTTGTTGACTTTCTGTCTCGTTGATCTGTCTAATGTTGACAGTGGGGTGTTAAAGTCTCCCATTATTATTGTGTGGGAGTCTAAGTCTCTTTGTAGGTCTGTAAGGACTTGCCTTATAAATCTGGGTCCTCCTGTATTGGGTGCATATATATTTGGGATAGTTAGCTCTTCTTGTTGAATTGATCCCTTTACCATCATGTAATGGCCTTCTTTGTCTCTTTTGATCTTTGTTGGTTTAAAGTCTGTTTTATCAGAGACTAGGATTGCAACTGGTGCCTTTTTTTGTTTTCCATTTGCTTGGTAGATCTTCCTCCATCCCTTTATTTTGAGCCTATGTGTGTTTCTGCATGTGAGATGGGTTTCCTGAGTACAGCACACTGATGGGTCTTGACTCTTTATCCAGCCAAATCTTTATCCAATTTGCCAGTCTGAGTCTTTTAATTGGAGCATTTAGTCCTTTACATTTAAGATTAATATTGTTATGTGTGAATTTGATCCTGTCATTATGATGTTAGCTGGTTATTTTGCTCGTTAGTTGATGCAGTTTCTTCCTAGCCTTGATGATCTTTACAATTTGGCATGTTTTTGCAGTGGCTGGTACCGATTGTTCCTTTCCAAGTTTAGTGCTTCCTTCAGGAGCTCTTGTAGGGCAGGCCTGGTGGTGACAAAATCTCTCTGCATTTGCTTGTCTGTAAAGTATTTTATTTCTCCTTCACTTATGAAGCTTAGTTTGGCTGGATATGAAATTCTGGGTTGAAAATTCTTTTCTTTAAGCATGTTGAATATTGGCCCCCACTCTCTTCTGGCTTGTAGAGTTTCTGCTGAGAGATCCGCTGTTAGTCTGATGTGCTTCCCTTTGTGGGTAACCCAACCTTTCTCTCTGGCTGCCCTTAACATTTTTTCCTTCATTTCAACTTTGGTGAATCTGAAAATTATGTGTCTTGGAGTTGCTCTTCTCGAGGAGTATCTTTGTGGCGTTCTCTGTATTTCCTGAATCTGAATGTTGGCTTGCCTTGCTAGATTGGGAAGTTCTCCTGTATAATATCCTGTGGAGTGTTTTCCAACTTGATTCCATTCTCCCCATCACTTTCAGGAACACCAATCAGACATAGATTTGGTCTTTTCACATAGTCCCAGATTTCTTGGAGGCTTTATCCGTTTCTTTTTATTTTCTTTTCTCTAAATTTCTCTTCTCATTTCATTTCATTCATTTGATCTTCCATCACTGATACCCTTTCTTCCAGTTGATTGAATCAGCTACTGAGGCTTATGGATTCGTCACGTAGTTCTCATGCCTTGGTTTTCAGCTCCATCAGGTCCTTTAAGGACTTCTCTGCATTGGTTATTCTAGTTAGCCATTCGTCTAATTTTTTTTCAAGGTTTTTAACTTCTTTGCCATGGATTCGAACTTCCTCCTTTAGCTCGGAGTAGTTTGATCGTCTGAAGCCTTCTTCTCTCAACTCATCAAAGTCATTCTCCATCCAGCTTTGTTCCGTTGCTGATGAGGAGCTGCATTCCTTTGGAGGAAGAGAGGCACTCTGATTTTTAGAGTTTCCAGTTTTTCTGCTCTGTTTTTTCCCCATCTTTGTGGTTTTATCTACCTTTGTCTTTGATGATGGTGATGTACAGATGGGGTTTTGGTGTGGATGTCCTTTCTGTTTGTTAGTTTTCCTTCTAACAGTCAGGACCTCAGCTGCAGGTCTGTTGGAGTTTGCTGGAGGTCCACTCCAGACCCTGTTTGCCTGGGTATCAGCAGCGGAGGCTGCAGAACAGTGGATATTGGGGAACAGCAAATGTTGCTGTCTGATCGTTCCTCTGAAAGTTTTGTCTCAGAGGAGTACCTGGCCATGTGAACTGTCAGTCTGCCCCTACTGGGGGGTGCCTCCCAGTTAGGCTACTTGGGGGTTAGGGACCCACTTCAAGAGGCAGTCTGTCCATTCTCAGATCTCCAGCTGTGTGCTGGGAGAACCACTACTCTCTTCAAAGCTGTCAGACAGGGACATTTAAGTCTGCAGAGGATTCTGCTGCCTTTTGTTTGGCAATGCCCTGCCCCCAGAGGTGGAGTCTACAGAGGCAGGCAGGCTTTCTTGAGCTGCGGTGGGCTCCACCCAGTTCGAGCTTCCAGGCTGCTTTGTTGACCTACTCAAGCCTCGGCAATGGTGGGCGCCCCTCCCCCAGCCTCACTGCTGCCTTGCAGTTTGATCTCAGACTGCTGTGCTAGAAATGAGCAAGGGTCCGTGGGCGTAGGACCCTCTGAGCCATGCGCGGGATATAATCTCCTGGTGTGCCGTTTGCTAAGACCATTGGAAAAGCACAGTATTAGGGTGGGAGTGACCCGATTTTCCAGGTGCCATCTGTGACCCCTTTCTTTGACTAGGAAAGGGAATTCCCTGACCCTTTGTACTTCCCAGGTGAGACAATGCCTCGCCCTGCTTCAGCTCAGGCTCGGTGTGCTACATCCACTGTCCTGCACCCACTTTCTAACACTCCCCAGT
Organism: Homo sapiens; assembly: GCF_000001405.40. Lineage (NCBI taxonomy): Eukaryota > Metazoa > Chordata > Mammalia > Primates > Hominidae > Homo > Homo sapiens. The sequence continues at coordinate 78,982,477 of NC_000004.12, forward strand.
GAGATGAACCCGGTACCTCAGTTGGAACTGCAGAAATCACCCGTCTTCTGCGTCGCTCACGCTGGGAGCTGTAGACTGGAGCTGTTCCTATTTGGCCATCTTGGCTCCACCTCGGGAGGTTATCTTTTTACTAGGGAGACAGCAGAGTCAGAGTAAGCAAATTGTGACAGAAGCAGAGAGACAGACTTTTGAAGATGCTACACTGCTGACCTTGAAGATGAAGGGTGGGGCCATGATTCAAGGAGTGTGGGCAGCTTTTAGAAGCTAGAAAAGGTAAGCTGAACTCTCTTCTGGGGCCTCCAGAAGGAACTCAGCCTTGCCAACACCTTTATTTTAGCCTGTAAGGCATATTTCAGACTTTTGAACTACAGAATTGTGAGATAATAAGTTTGCATTGTTCTGAGCCACTATATTTTTGGAAATTTGGTATAGCAATGATAGGAAGCAAATGCACCATGGCTACCGAAGTAAAAACTCTACATTTTGAAACCTTTATTATTTCTCCAAATAAGTCTGGATGAACAACTCCAAGGATGGAAGAATAATTTTACCTATTACAACCTGGTAGTTGGAGAAAAGACTTGGTGAGTGGAGGCGATCTAGACCTTCCAACAGGTAAGAAAACTTCAAAATTGCTAGTTCTTGTGACATCCCAGGTGGGCCACAGCAGACAGCTTCATTCAAGGGAGTTACTGAATTATAAAGGTGAAAATTGGTTAGAATTGGCCTATTTCCTTTGGAAGTATTCATAAACGATTCCATTTCAGGTCTAGTTTTTCTTTCTACTCTAGGAATATGGCCACAATTGCCTGAGGAAGGGGCATGAATAAGATGGTATTGAAAGGAGATATGAAATAATTCTCTCCTGAGTTCAGTAGAGAATTAATCCCACTTTTCTGTAAAATCAATATGATTTGTCTCTGTCAGTAAAGGGATGGCTATTAGCAATAGAGTGTTCTTTAGGTGGAACAATAGAGATCAACTGCGCACAAAAAAATGGCAATGGATGGACATTGGATAGCTTTCAATGGGGCTTTTTCTCTCTAGGTTTCAGTCGAATTTTGCTGTAAGTTAAAAGAGAAACCCTATTATAGGTCAGGTTCTAGGGGGTTGTATCCCCACACTGACTACTTACTGGCTGTGGGGCTGCCCTATGGGAAATTGCTTAATTTGGGGTGAGGCAGGTCCCTTCTGTTGAGGGTAGTGCCCAGGGAGGGACTCAGCTGTGAACCAGTGACAGCTGGACCATCCAGGCAGCTGGGGAAAAAAGTGCCTCAAAGTGGGGAGCTGGGAGGAGCTGGGAGGTGTACTCAGTGTTCTTACAGACCCCTGGATGCATGTAGATAAGGGTAAAGCAGAGACATGGGATCAGCACCGAGTAGAGCTCTTAATTGGATTCCAGAAAGATAGATTTAGAGGTTCTATGCCATTGGCTTTGCGAAAGTTACTTGGTCAATTAATTAGTTCCATTGCTCTCTAGGTTTCAGTTGAATGACCCTTTCCATTGCTTCTACATCACGATAATGGTGAAAAACAGAGAATTATAATAGTTGAAAGTCAAAGATAAGCCTTATTCTAAATCTCATTTTTCAACTTTGTTGAAAAACATTTTCACATGCCTCGTTACCTTTACCCTCTTGGAACATTTTCATCTCTACATTTTTTGGGGTTTACCCTGATGGAAATGTATTAAAGCAAAATAATCGTGCAAAGTTGGTGGCAGAAAGGAAAATAAGCACAATTAAAGGACTTGGATTCAGTGAACCATGTGTTTATGGAACCTCTACTAGGTTCAGACCAAAAATATATATTCAACTATTTATTTTAGATGATAGACTATCCAGAGATTAAGTAATCTACTTTTTAAACAAGGGTAGACATCAGGATTGGGCTAATGGTACATTTTTAAAAGGCAGGAGTTTTTCTTTGGAAATTGTTTATCCCTACAAGTTACTCTTAGTTTGTTACTGTTGGTGAAAAGATTATCTTCCTCTATAACTTAAGCAACATTGTGAGAACTACTGAAGGTAGATTGTAGCTTAATTACATGAAGTTACCAGTCTTTCTGTATGTTTTTTTTCAGCCCTTGTTAACACCAGTTACTAGTCTTCCTTATTTTCCCCAGCACACTTTTCTACATTTTACAAATATCAGTCCCACTTACTGTATCTTCATTATTAATTCATTTAACTTCTGTCACAAGGAGATCAAGCATTTATTCCTTTTTGAACATTCACTTCCCTACACGCTTAGAAATATTTTACTGACAGCAATGGCTACCTCCATGGAGCCTGTGTAAACACGAGTTTATGGGCTGCTGTGCAGGCACCTTTGGTGATTTACTTTCTGGTTATTGGGATTTATTTATTTTTTGATGGACTGGTAAATTATGAGGCTGTGGACCTTGCCAAGTTTTCAGGTATCAACTCAGCCCTGCTGGAAAAACTGTGGTTGGCACTGCAACACAGAGAATGACCAATGAGGCATCATATATTTTTAATAGATATATGTTTTAATAAACATTCTCCTCCTAAAGCAATGGATTTTAAAATAGGCTTTTGCCTTGAGCCATGTAGCTACCCAGCTGTGAGTTTTATAAGGCAACAATCTCCACATCATTAGATGTTGTGACTAATATTCCAGCAACTGAAATAATAGCTATTTACATGCACATAAAAAGTTAAAATGACATTTAAGGTGCACTTCTACTCAGAAAAGTATGCTTATAAAAGCAATGCCACAAGTTTCTCCTTCATGTTCCTTCTATTGACTTGTAAAGATCCCTTGCAAAGCAAAAGGTAGCTTAGAAGTCTTGTTCCAGACAGACACCTGGGGACCCTTCAAACTTGAGAGCAAGGTAGGATAGCCTCTAACCTCGAATCCCACTGCCCTTTAGGGTTCTAAGCTTCTTGAAGATTTCTGCTGATTTCATTGTGCTTGTGGTCTGTTCCTGCCTTTGCAGAGGCTTTGCTATTTTCACTTCAATTCACTGTTTTGCTCCTTTATTTGTTTCCGTATGAAATTCACTCACATCAAACATTTAGTGAGTTTGTTGTGGATTTTAGTGGCAAGTCACTTTGTGCTCCTTACAGCATTCTGCCAGTTCTCTGGCCCCACCTGCTCCTGCTCCCCACCCCTGCTTTATCTTCCTCTCGTTGTTAGAAAGACAAACACATTTTTCTTTCCTTGTCATATTCAGAGCATAGCCTAGTACCCTGAGGTCTCATATTCTATTCCAAGTACTTATCAAGGTGTCCCTTACACCCCACAACAAAGAATCTGGTGCCAACTTTAAGTATAAAATTATTTTCCCATCTCATTATAGGACTGAAGACTTATTTTCTATTCCTACTAAGTATTTTGATCACAGGCATGCACCTGTTATGTGAACATGGGTGGGAACTTTCTTCTGAACTTTCTCCTGATATTCCTGTCTTCTGGGCAGGTGAAGAAAAGAAGCAAGCAAGGAAGAATAGCATTAATAAGAAGCTCAGGATGGACAACTGTTTTAGAGGGGGAAATGTTGGCATATCAGTTTCCGCTCTCTGGTGCAACATGAGAACGTGCATTCAAGAGAAGAATTTGCCTCTATTCAATCTACCTGGCTCAATCCCAGAACCATGCGTCCAACTTCATCTATTTTTTGACCTGTAAATCTCTATTATTCAAACGACAACTAGGCAGCCACGTTCTTTTTCCCTTGCTATTTTGGCCTATTACATAAAAACTTTGGCCTTTGGAAATATGGAACAGATTAATTTTCTCTCCTCCCTCCACTTCTCACTTCTCCTAGGTGGTCTGTCCTATTAGAAGAATGAACAGTGTATTTGACTCTGCCTCTGCTGAGTTTTCTTTAAATAAAATATTTGAATATAGCTTAAATATCTGTTGAATTTATGATTGTATTAAAGGTAATTTATTTCCTGAACTGAATCTTGTTTTAGTTACATAATCTAGAAGACTACTTGATATGAATTTTATTTAAAAATCATTTTAAAAATAATAACTTGGACTTCAGTGGATTCTCTCATACAGTAGTATTTAGAAGATTTAGGTATTTCCCCATCTCTGGATAACATGGAAAAAACTGTCTCAAGCTTCTTCAAAGCTGTTATTCACCTCAAACTATAATTTTGGGAGTTTGCAGAATCACATTCTTTTAGGTTCATTGCAATTTGAGTGAATCTGATGGAATTTTCTTTCATCCAGTTCTATATTCTAATTTTAATCTGAATTTCAAATTTAAATAGTCTGCCCCCAACCTGTACTCCACACCTTCCATGGTATGCATAAGTTCCTGAAAGGACTGAGACTGGGTCTCCTTTATCTCTTTCCCCATTGTAGCCTTGCCTGTTACAGGTACAGTGAATTATTTCTCTGTTAATTTGATAAGAAAGCATTAGCCTCTGAAACAGTTTCATGCAGTTGATGGTTGGTACAGAAGAAAATATGGAGTGAGCTCCAAATCTCCAGACTCATACTGATACTAATATATATATATACACACACATATATATTATATATAATATATATGTGTATATATAATATATGTAATATATATGTGTGTGTATATATATATATATATGAGGCATCCAAGAATTTGGACTTCCTTGTGTAATTATTATGTGAGTATCATTGCACACATCTCTTGCTCCTTAGTCATTTAAAATTACTAGGGCATTTTACAAAGAATGGGGGGAAACCAGATAACTTCTTATTTCTCTATAGTTTTATTAATATTAATGAAACAGCATGAAAGAGTTGCTTAAAGAGCAGTGAGACAGACACTGAGTACCAAGAAAATACACTTGCCTTCTTGTGGACATGTAACTCTCGTATGAGTGAATCTGGTTGTTTCAAAAACAAAGAGATATTTCTTGTGATTTGATTTCTCTCCCATCTTGTCTGTAGGAATCGCAGGATTCATAACAGAATCATCCTAGCATATGCTTTTTCCTTCAGTGTTTTGATACCGAAAGGAATACTGAGTTGCCTTGTACCGTGTTTGCACAGCATGCCCTCAGCTTCAGCTGAAGTCTTGAAAGACTTTGCGGGTTATGACATTCCCCTAAATGTGCTGAGCTTTCTTTAACCTTTCATAAAACATTGTGATCTTTATGGACTGTATCATATTGTGCAGTAATGTGCTTTATTGTCCACAGAATAAGCTTTTCTTAAAGATAATTGGAAAGCTGGAAATGGCTGCTATCGGCTGATTTTTTAAAAATACATTATTTCTGAAATGGGGCTGGTGTAATAATGACCCTATCTGTTCAAGATTTAAGATTTGTCTTGGCAGAGAAAATTGATCCATTTCACCTTTGTCTAATGGAAATTTTTATCTAGGATTATCTGTTTATGTAAATGAATGTTCCTCTGAAAAGGGAACTTGAGGGGGCTGTAAATCTTGGTGACACTTCAGTTTCATAGGGGAGAAATTGGAAAGGATTCTAGTATTTATCTGCCTGAAATTGGTTATAAAAACAAAGTTGTCTTCATGTACCTGCAGCATCTGATGTTTCCTTGAATTTCATTATATTTTTGAATAATTCAGTGCTATAGAAAGAATGCTGTTTCTGTATTACCTCATTCAGAAGTTGTTTTTACTTTTTCTATTTTCTGGTTGCTTTCTAATGCTGACATTATAGAGGAGGAGAAGCTTTTGCTTACCCATTCTTTTAGGGATGAGATGTTTTTATCTGCATAATCTTAATAGTCTTCAGCTATTGTAGGCTCATTATCTACAGTTATATGCAATGTATTAGCAGAATATCCATCATTTCTCCTTTTTAAAAAACATAGCTTATATAAATTCTGATCTTAGTATCAGAATTGCTCTACATTGAAAATAAATAATTTTTTTAAGGTAATTTTTTGACCAAGCTTAATCCGGAAGCTTAATTTGGAAGTTGTAAGGTGATAACTTTGAAAAGTCAGCAGTGTCTGACAAATTCTTTTTCTCCAAGTCAAAGGGAAAGTGGAGAGTAAGATCAACCCACTTAAATGTCAGCTAATTAGAGAAAACAAAGTGAGGCAAAAAAAAATCATTTGCATTAACTTTCTTGAAGAAAGGTATAATTTCTTTATAGAGACCACTAACTTTATTACCTGGTAACTATCAGAATTACACTGTTTTCATGTTTCTCTTGCAGCTACTTGCTTGGAAGTTTCTCCCCTTTACCAATATTTGAGCTATTTCACCAGGATTTAAAAAAAAAGTTAGCAATATGTTGCATTCCAAAGATGACATGAATGTAATTATTTAGCTGTGTGACATTAGGACTGAAAATTGGTAAGAACTTTGATTTTTGCAGCATGATTCCATTCATAAGAAGGGGTAGAAAGGCTACAACAAGGAGTGGTGCTTGCTGCCTGGAATATTCTTATAAAAGTCATATTTGGACATCCATATTCAGGATGATCATCACAGCTTTCTGTTAGTATTAAATAGACATGAACAACAAGTATGGTACAAAATCATCTCTATTTTCCAGAAGATTGAAGGGAAATGTAGCAGTATGGGATAGAAGACAGGGCACAGGACTGGAAATGAGACCTGGATCTGGCAGACTGGAGAATTGTGTGACCATGGAAGGGTCACGGCAGCTTCATGAACCCTTGACTCCTCATCCTTAGGATGAAAATTGAACTTATGCCAAAACGAAATGTGCTGTGAGGAGTCAGAATGGTGGTTACCTTGGAGGAAGGAAGTGACAGGAGAGGTGTTAGTAGCTGTAGGGCTTCTGGGATGCTGACAATGGTCTCTTTCTTTTGGGCAATATTCACACAGGTGTGTTCACCATGTGAAAACTCCTCAAGCTGTATGTACCTTACGATCTAGGTACTTTTCTAAATGTATATTAAATTATTATGTATAATATTCAGTTCAATTAAAAAGTTGCCTCAAATGCCTGCTTGTTATAAGATCACTGGGGGAAACTGTGTTTGAAATTATTTTAAAAAATAACATGCATTCCAATGTTAGGTATAAACCTCTGCAAAAATGTGTAGCTTTTTCAATAGGGATCACATATATTGCTTTCTGCAAAGGTCTCTAATCTGACCTTTTGTTACTATTTTTCTTTTTATTGTTTGTTTCAGCACAATTATGAATATCCAATAAGTTTATATTCTACTTATACATAATAAACTCCATTATATTTAGAGCACTGGTTAAGAAAAAAAGGCTCCCAGATACAATCAGATGCATAGCATCTCAAACTAAGTGCCATTATCACAAACCGAACCTTTTAAAATATTTTCGTCTGTGTGGAAGTTACACTGAACCCTGATCATTCATTCCAGCATTCACTCAGTAGCTTTTAAGGACATAGAAGAAAACAAACTTTAATTGCTTCCGTACTGACTCCCAAGCTGCTCACTATGTTTCTTACTCAGAGCACTGAATGTTCTTAAATGGTTCTAACGTTCTCTCGGCATGCCTCAAGTGTCTTTGGCTCTTTACTCCTTCCTGTCTCTGTAGAATGGCCTGGAACTGCATTTTGAATAAGGGGCAGAAAGAACTTTGTCTGCAGGGCCAATGACGTGTGTGTGTGTGCGTGTGTGTGTGTGTGCGCGCGCGTGTGTGCGTGTGTGCGTGTGTGTGTGTATGTGTGCGCGTGTGTGCGCGCACGTGTGTGCGTGTGTTTGTGTGTGTGTGTGTGTGTGTGTAGGAATGGGGTGGGGTGCTGGGCTTCAGGGCTTGGGCAGGTGGAACAAATTTTGGGGACCTTGATTCTGAATGTCAGTCCAAATCTTGTTTCATATCTCTGTTTAAAGCCTGTTTTTTTTTTCCTTCTTTTCTTTTTCTTTTTTGTAGCTACAGAAAAACTCTCCCTCAGCAGTCCTGACTATTGACTATCTAATCTCAGTATCTAAATTGATTGCAAGCACTATATGCTGGTAAATCTACATTTTCCCAACTGTTGAAGAGAGAACTGTTTCTCAGCATAGATCCAGAATTCAAGAGATAAATTTCAAAACCTGAGCTCTCAGCTTCCCTTATCTGCAACCTGAGCCACATTAAAGAATGGGCTGAAACATATTTTCTCATTAAGAACAGAGAGATAATAATAGCTGCACTCTCCTTCATCAGGGTTGTTGTCAGGATTTAATGAGAGAATGCATGCTAAAATGTTTTGACAACTGTAAACTGCTTTGCAAAGTTAAGAAATTAATAAATAGGACTTTTATGCTTCATACAACCTTTTCAGACATCTATTTCAAATCCAACCTTGTAATTGTAAAGACAAAAAAAGTACAACACTTCAGTTTTTATATCAATGTTAAAAAGTAACTCTGCAATAAAAATAGTTACAGAATTGATATGTCCTAATGAAAGGAACACCATCATTTAAATATTTAAATATACAAAAACATAAATGATAAATATTTGAATTACTGAAGAGTGCTTTACTTTACAAATAAACAGCAATCCTCCTCCCTCAGTATATTTAAAATTATTTCAGTATATATGTGTCATATGAAGCTACTACTACATACTTAGATTTGTTACTCTGAAGAAATATAAAGCCATGATACTTCCCAGGAACATGGCAGAAATGTCAGGCTTTCAGGAGCCAGGCTAAAATAGCAGGTTGTGGCTAAGCTAGAGCTCCTCAAGGACAGTGACTCTCTACTGTTTATCTGTATGAGATAGGGTAATGCAGAGGGAGACAAGAGTTTCTGCAGCAGGCAGACCTGGTGTTGAGTTTGGCTTTACTGCTTGTTATTGGTGGTTCCAGGCACATAACTAAGCTCCATTTTCCATAGCAGCAAAATAGGAATGCTAGCACTGACCTATCACCGTTGTGAGAACTTGCTGAGACCTCGGTAAAGAGTCAGCTTATTATAAATGGAACAATGAGTTCCCTTCTCCCTACCCACAACCTCAGAGTCCAATGTTGGGTCTGAAGGGATCCAATAAAAGAATACCACCTTTTCCTGCCTGAGAACCAATTCAGAGCCAATTGCACAATAAATGTGTGTGTGTATATGCATGTGCATATAAAGTTTATATGTAAGTATATAAACTTTATTACTAACACAAACTGGCTTGGGGGGGATGACTTACATATGCAGTAACAATGAACTTCTTAATATAGCATCCCAGAATTAGACTGAACACTCTGTCACAGACAGTACTAACCAGCCGTAGGCTTCCCATGTGGGTGCCTGCACTTGTAAACTTAGGGTGCTGAGAAGAAGAGAGTGTTGGTTCTCCTTGGCCAGCAAGCTCTCAGGAGGGAGACTGGAAGGGGCTAAGCTGCTCATGTTTCATTTCTCCTTCCAAACTCATCGGTTGGATAAATAACCTCACCTCCCTTGAGAAGTGAGAGAGCAGCAGCAGGAGGCTGGGGATGTTACGCTAATGGATGCATCCCTACTGGGAAGGAAATGTCAGCTGAGAAGATCAGGATTTCCCTCAACACCCAGCACAGCACGCATGGTGCATGTTTGATGGATAAATGTGTTTGTCCATCTAACAAAACTTCGTTTTGCTACCTACCTGAGGGCAATCATTTCAGGCAGTACAGAGCGCTTTGGATTCTGGTTCTCTCATCTGTGGGACAGATCATCCCAGTTCATGTGCATGTTAGATCACCATAATCAGCACCATCAACGCCTGATTTGAAGCCAGGTATTTCCTAGTGGTGGGCTATAGGTTGGGGTATGGCTTAGTACCGTCAACTTGCCTTTCAAGGTACCATTGTTCATTAGTTGTCAATGTTACTAAACCATTTAGTGATCTCATTTGCCACACTAGCTAATCTAATGCAGAGATGTCTATTTTGGCCACAAAAGGATGAAGAGATGCTTTACTGAAATCCAGGTATGCTATAGAACAGAGTCAGTTTGGCGTAATGGAAAGTTCAGAGGTAAATCCCAGCCCTGCCATCACTTAAAATTTAAGTTTTAAATACAAATTTAGGTAACAAGTTTCACTTCTTGTGATAACTAAGAGCATGTTTTTATCTCAAAAGCAACCTGTAAAAATCACACAAAATTTTGACCTGCTTTTTCACTGTCCACAGAGACTTGTTGACAAATGTAATTGTAAGCACATGTGTATCTGTACTCTCTAGACATGGACGAAGCAAAGACCCAGACAAGCTTCGTGATAAATCAGAACTTAAAAGGAACAGCAGGGATGCTAGAGGCTAGTCTGAGTGGGAGAAACATACTCTGCATGAACTCTTAATTTTCATCAGCCATGCTGAGAACAAAGTCACTGCCAACCGGTTAAATCTAAAATACATAAGTATTATGTGCTTGGTAGAGTAGAAAAGTCATGCATTAAAGTAATAAACCTAACATATTTGTCACCCCAAATGAAAAAGGCATACTCCTTTGAGGTTTCCCAGGTTGGAAAGATCAGAGAGCTTTATGTTAGTCAGTGTTGCCTCAGTGCGACTTTCTTCAGTGATAGGAGGCACAGCCTGGATGGTTTTTGGGAACCCATCCTACTTTGGAAGTTGATCCAATGTTCCCATGGCCGAGTTTTCCTTAGAATGCCCTTTGAAGTGTAAAGGGGGCACAGAGACACCAGGGAAAAGGAGAGAGGTCACAAAGTGTCTGTTGATTTCTCTTTTTTTCCCCTACTTCCCAAATCCTAGGGAAGACTCATCATCTGACATCTACATTATGCAAGTTATAGCTTTTCTTCTATTTGGTGTACTCTGCTTACAGCTGTTCCTGAGTTTTCTACATCATGGTGTAAAGTGACTCCCTGTTGTCTACTTATCAAATGCAACATCTCTGGATTTCAAATCACTCATAATCTGGTCACCCCCTCTTAAATAAAATGAATGATTAAATATTAGGTTTGTATCTAAATAATGATTTAATGAATATGCTTGTACCCATCATCTGCTTTAAGAAATAACGTATTACAAAAAACCCGAGTACCCCTCCTCTGTTGAATTCCTCTTAGTCCCAAAGGTATCTTAACAGATTTTTAAGGGTACAACAAAATATTGTTAGCTATAGGTACAATGTTGTATAGCAGATCCCTAGAACTTACTCATCTTGCATTACTGAAACATTCTACCCATTGAACAGCAACTTTCTATTTCCCTTCTCTCCTGCCCTTGGTGACCACTGTTTTGTTCTCTGCTTTTATGAGTTTGACTATTTTAAATATCTCATCTAAGTGGCATTACGCAGTATTTGTCCTGTGACTGGCTTGTGTTACCTCCAGGTTTATCCATGTTGTCGTGTATTGCAAAATTTTCCTTTTTTAAAAAAAGCTGAATAATATTTCATTTTGTGTATATATCATGTTTTCTTAATTCATTTATCCATTGATGGACATTTAGGTTGTTTCCGTACCTTGGCTATTGTGAATGATGCCGCCAACATACGTATTTTCTAACATTAACCCTTTTTATTGTTAGTCTAATGGGTGCAAAATGTATCTCACTGTGGTTGTAATTTCCAAGGCAGGACATTTTTCATATGTTTCGTGGCCAATCTCGTTTCTTCTTCTGTGAATTACCCGTGTGTAGATCAGATTTCAGTACCATTTCTTGAAATATTCATTCATTTTGCTGTTGATAGACATTTTATTTATTATATATGGCTATTATGAATAATACTGCTTTGAAAATTTTTTACATGCCTTTTAATGTACAAATATATTAATTTCTGTTGAGTGTACTCCAGACATAGAATTTATGCGTTAACACTAGTAGGTATAACGAAGTAGTCTTTCAATGTAGTTGTACTAGTTTTTATTCCCACCAGCCATGTGTGAGAGTTTCGATATTCACCTATCTTTGCTAACACTTGGTATTTTCAGCCTTTCAAATTTAGTCAATCTGATGTCCATCTAGGTTGGAATTTGAGCATCTTTTCAGAAGTTTACCAGATATTTGGATATCTCTTTTTGTGAAATGCATGTACATGTTTCCTGTTCATATTTTTTTTGGCCTGTGTGTCTTTTTAATATGTAAGGGAGTTCTGTATGCAAATGATATATATGCCTTTTTTCATTTCTGACTGTTGAAAAAACACCTTCTTATACATATATTTGCCTTCTTGCCATCATCTTGGTGTCTTTTTGGTGAACAGAAGTTCTTAATTTTAACATTGTCATATTGATGAAAAATCAGCATCTTCATACTTTTTAATAAGTCATCCCCACCTGATGTCATCAAAAGACTCTAGTAACTTCTGGAAAAATTATTGTTTATCATTCATATTTACATCTGTATTCTACTTATTAATTTTTAGTGTATGGTGTAAGGTTGAGGTCAAGTTCAGTTTTTGTCATGTGGGTGTCTTATTGGCTAAACATCATTTGCTGATTTTTTTATTTTTTCAGTGCCTTGCACATTTGTTGTAAATTAAGTGTACATTCATACATGTCTCCTTTCCAATATCTGTTCGTGTCAATCCTTGCACAATACCATACTTTCATAGTTATTTTAGCTTTATAAAAGGTATTGATATCTTATAGAGCAGGCCCTCTGTATAGGTGTGTTGCCTTTCTTTCTTTTTTTTTTTTTAAAAAAAACAAAAAAACAAAAACATGTTTCCTAGATGTTTGATAATGCTAATGCTATCGTAAATGGGATTTTTTTTTTTTTTTGACACAAAAACTCACTCTGTCACCAAGGCTGGAGTGCAATGGTGCAATCTCAGCTCATTGCAACCTCCACCTCCTGGGTTCAAGCAATTCCCCTGCCTCAGCCTCCCAAGTAGCTGGGATTATAGGCATGTGCCACCATGGTTTCACAATGTTGGCCAGGCTGGTCTCAAACTCCTGACCAAGTTCTGGTCAGGAACTCAAGTTATCTGCCTCTCTCAAGTGATCTGCTTGTCTCGGCCTCCCAAAGTGCTGGGATTAAAGGCATGAACCACTGCGGCTGGCCCTTTTTTTCAGATTGTTAAAAGAAAATAATGTTTAGCTCATTACTGGCATGTAAAATAAAATTAATTGAATATTGCTTTTGAATCCAGTAAACTTGCTAAACTCATTTATTTTGATAATTTATCTGTAGATTCTTTGGATATTCTGAATATACAAGTGCATCTTTTTAAAATAATATTTTATTTGTTACTTTCTATTCTTATACTCACATATTATTATTTTCTTCTCGTCTTATTGCACTGGTTGGGACCTTCAGGACAGTGTTAAATAGAAGCCATGATAACAGAAATTTTTATAGTTTTTCTGATTTAAGCAAGGAAAGCTATCAATATTTTGAATGTAGTGTTTGCTGTAGATATTTCGAAGTTAGCTTAAATCTTCATTTCTTTCCAGGTCTACTCTATGGTTCTTCACTCTGATTTTCCCCAGTAGACTGATCTTTATTTCTACCCCGTGTCTACAGGGCCCCTTGTCTACTGGTTTCTAGTTGTGCTTGGCTGAGGACAGGCAGTGACAGAAAATCAGGAGGATGAAAGGAAAAACAGTATGGTCTTCATCCTTCCAGAGACCTCCCCGTTGGGTTTGAGGAGGCAGTAACTGCATTTATCTACCAAAGTCATAGTTCCTTTCAGCAGAACTCTTCTGCAGCTACAAGCTCATCTCATTGTTCTTGCGGGAATAATAACAGCTTCTCTTTCCCATTTCCTATTCTTAACCTTATTGACGGTGCTATTTTCTGCTGTGACCCTGACTAATACAGTACATTTGTCAATGTAAGAAAGTTTCTTTCTATTCTTTTTGCTTATATTTTAAAAAATAATGATTAGATGTTAAGTTTTGTCATTGCCTTTTGTATTTCTTTGACAACCATATGATTTTTCTCCTTTATTCTGTTAATATAGATTACATTGATTGATTTTGCTGTCTTCCCAGTTAGGATATATGATGTAGGGATATATGTCAAGGTATGTTTTAACCTCACTTGTAATAGTTCTTCCTGGTGAGGTTTTTGTGGCCATTCCTTAAACATGAGATGGATCTCCACCCAAAATTTGGTTTGGGTATTGGGACCAATAAAACTACGTGTACTCCAAGAGAATATAAAAAGGCTTACCACTCTCATTATGAAGCTTTTTGAGAGAGTAGAGCAGTCTTTCCAAGCTGGTCCAAAAATGACTTGAAAGAGTAAGGAGACTGGCTTGGAGTTTTGATGATGGTTGGAGAGTAGGCAGGTATAGGGGCTTCCATGCATGGGTAGGAGTTTGCAGGATTTAAACCTCCCACTGGTGCCAAAGAAGGAAGCATCTGAGCTTTTTTTGTCATTTGTCCAGATGTAGGGCAGATAGACAAGGGGGAGGAGTGAAGCTTAAAATATGTCAGCAGTCAAATACTTAACATATGGAGTCAGACTGTTTATTGCAAGGTTTATCCCACTAGATAGATATCAAATTATTTTATTTTAATTTTTTCATATTTTAAGACTAATTTTTGAGTATATTTAACTATCTTTTGAGAGTTCATGAGTTATTTACAAGGAAAAAAATCAGACTGTCATCAGACTTTTCAGCAGCAAATACTCTGTCTTTTCAACATGTAACTTCAGGTCACCTGTTACTTCAAGAAATTTTTCTTGATTTATGGTTTTTAGTATTTGTTTCATTCCAATACTTTGGTTTTCTTTTCCAGAGTCTGCTATTATATTCATGTTGGATCATCTTTACCTTTAAAAAACACCTAGCCTTTTAAAAAATCTCTTTATTTCCTTTTGATTTTTGACATTTTCATTCTTTCCATTTTCTATTAAGGCATTGCCAAATAGGATTATTCACTCTTGTGTTCTTTAAAATTTAATTTTCTTTTCTAAAATCCTAAAATCTAAAAATGATAATTTTCTCTTTTATTTCTATTTTTTTCTAAAGTTCTGTTCCCTCTGTTTTCAAATGTTCCTTTCCATCAATGATTTCATATGTATTTTTTAAAAATTCCGATTTGTGTTTTTCAGTTATGCTTATGTCACTTATCTTCATTCTTTTTGCTCTATTAAGGTTGCAGTTTTTACCTATTTTGCGAACACACCTTTCTGGCATGCTTTCAATTTTTGGAGGAGTGTTATTTTGATGATGATTATTACTTTCATAAGTAACTTTGTGATAAATTTGAATATGACCCTTTACTGTTGCTCATTTTATGAGTTTTATCATAATTTTAAGAAAGAATGATGAGCCAGGATACTTTTATTTAGGTCCACTGCTCTAGATCTCTCTCTTCTACTGTTTTCTTTTCTTTTTTCTTTTTTTCTTTCTTTTTTTTTTTTTTTTATGAGACAGAGTCTGGCTGTGTCGCCTAGGCTGGAGTGCAGTGGCATGATCTTGGCTCATTGCAAGCTCTGCCTCCCAGGTTCACGCCATTCTCCTGCCTCAGCCTCCAAGTAGCTGGGACTACAGGCACCTGCCACCACGCCCTGCTAATTTTTTGTATTTTTAGTAGAGACAGGTTTCACCGTGTTAGCCAGGATGGTCTCGATCTCCTGACCTCGTGATTCCGCCTGCCTCGGCCTCCCAAAGTGCTGGGATTACATAAGCCACCGCACCCGGCTCTTCTAGTGTTTTCATACCACGATGTCTCTGTACATCTTGAATTCTTCTTCTGCTTCCTCTCACACTTTATCTGGGCCTTCTTTATCCTTTCCTCCTATTATTTCTATTCTGCTCCATTAGATTATACTCCAAGCAGATTTTTCTTAATTATTTTGTTCTGGAAATGAGAATCAGTATACAAATTTTGATAGTTTATTGAACCAAGACTGTTCCAGTACTGCCATATCTTATCACTGTCCACTTGAATTTACCCATGAATTAGATCCTATAAAACATCCTTCCAGTTTCAGATGCTGTTCTCATATTGCCTCACTGCATTTACCAGGGAGTAATTGTTGGAAAACTTGAGAGTTAGTCTAGGGCTAAGGTGAATTTGAGACTTAGTCTCTTAGTCTGAAGCTATCAGAATCCTTATTGCTTTCTCTTTGTTTCTTCACAGGCTTTTTCTAATACTACAGTAGTCGTGTAGTTGATATTACAGTGGTTGGTGATTTGTCTATACCTACTTACATTTTGAAGTTTCTGAAGATAACATATCACTTAGTTTTTTGTAGATATTTTATGTGGGTTTTTGGTTTTGTACTCTATTTCATGTGTCTATTTTTTTTTTACAAGAAAATTAGAGTAAATTAAAAAAGAAAATAATCCTGCCCCAGGTTTCTCTTCTCAGAATCCTTCTGGTCCCTCTTCTACTCTTCTATGGAAGAGGCTGTGTAAGGCTGATGTTATTGCTGTCTAAATGTTTGGAAAATTCTCTGGTAAATCCATCTGGTTCTGGAGAATATTTTTAAATGTTTTATTATGGAAAATTTTAAATATATACAAAGTAGAGAGACTATTCTAATGAACTTGGTATAACCAAGACCTACTTTCAACAATTTCAAAGCATATCAAATATTATTTTACTATAAAACCCTACCAGTGCATAACAGCTGATCATTTTGAAGTAAATTCTATGCCTCATTCAATTGTGCATATTATAGTATAGATCAATAAAGGCAAAGAATATTTTTGAAACATAAACACAATATCTTATCACACCTAAACAAGCTTGTTTAACAATAATTTGGTAACATTATCCAATACTAACACAATGTTCACATTTTCTACATTGTCATGTAAATATCTTATTTAAAACTTACTTTATCCATACATTGTGATGGGTTGATAGATCC
Organism: Homo sapiens; assembly: GCF_000001405.40. Classification (NCBI taxonomy): domain Eukaryota; kingdom Metazoa; phylum Chordata; class Mammalia; order Primates; family Hominidae; genus Homo; species Homo sapiens. Next base: position 78,999,123 of record NC_000004.12, read on the forward strand.
CTAGGGGTCTTTTAATTAATATGTTTCCTGTCTTTATTTCCTGGAAATAATAAATTATAGATTTAGTCTCTTGTAGGATTATTCAGTTTTTAAAAAGTTTTTGTTGTATTAATCTTGGTGAGTGGTGTTTTTCTAGAAATCTATTTCTGTTAATTTATTTAATTCCTTTTCAATATTTTGTTCACGATATCTTCTTTTTAGCTTTGTAGTATCTGTAGGATCAATAGTACTGTCACTTCTTTTATTCCTGACTTAAGATATTTTCCTCCCTTTTTTTTCTTGCTCTCTTAGCAGGGGTTTAGTAATTTTAATAGGTTCTTTTCCCCTAGGAACTAACTTTTGGCTTTGTTGATCTTCATGTATATTTATTTTTATTTCATTAATTTATGTTTTTATTATTTCCTATCTTTTTAACTTATTTGTATTATCTTTGCTATCTTTTTATAATATCCTGAAATGGGTCTTGGTTCAGTGTTTTTCAGTGTTTCTTTTTTTTTTCAACATGCATTTAAAGCTAAACACTTTTTTATGGTGGGTTTAGTCACATCTCATAAATTTTGATTTTTTATTTTAATTATTAATTTCAAAATATTTTTAAATTTCTATTGTGAGTTATACTTTATCTGTGGATTATTTATAAGTATATTGCTTAATTTTCAAGCATATGAGAGTTTTCTAAATATCTGTTTTTCACTTCCAGTTCATTTCAACTCTGACCAACTACTCTTTATAACTTCAGTCCTTTTATACTTATTGGGACTTGGCTTATGGGCCAGTATATGGACAGTTTTGGTAAAAGTTTATATATTCTTGTAAAAAATATGTTTTTGATATGCAAGTAGCATGCTTGCAATAATATGTTCTATTTTTGTCAATTAGGTCAAATTTATTAATTTGAAATTTTGGTTTTATTTTTTACATGCTTTTGAATTTTTTGGTCTACTAATTCTATCAGTTACTAAAAGATACATACTCTCCTTCTGTGATTGTGGATTTGTATGTTTCTCCTTTCAGTTCTGTCAATTTTTTTTCATATATTTTGATGTTAGTAGGTACACACAGTTTTAGGACAGTTATGTCTTTTTGGTGAACTGTTCCTTTTACCATTAATGCTCCTTCTCATCTCTGGTAATACTCCTTGATTTGAGGCTTCCTATACCAAATAGCTGTACCAACTTACTTTTGGTTTGGGTTTCTTTATAGATGCTTTTCCATTTGACTTTTTTTTTTTTATCATACTTTAAGTTTTAGGGTACGTGTGCACAACGTGCAGGTTTGTTACATATGTATACATGTGCCATGTGGGTGTGCTGCACCCATTAACTCATCATTTAACATTAGGTATATCTCCTAATGCTATCCCTCCCCCCTCCCCCCACCCCACAACAGGCTCCAGTGTGTGATGTTCCCCTTCCTGTGTCCATGTGTTCTCATTGTTCAATTCCCACCTATGAGTAGAACATGCGGTGTTTGGTTTTTTGTTCTTGTGATAGTTTGCTGAGAATGATGGTTTCCAGCTTCATCCATGTCCCTACAAAGGACATGGACTCATCATTTTTTATGGTTGCATAGTATTCCATGGTGTATATGTGCCACATTTTCTTAATCCAGTCTATCATTGTGGGACATTTGGGTTGGTTCCAAGTCTTTGCTATTGTGAATAGTGCCGCAATAAACATACATGTGCATGTGTCTTTATAGCAACATGATTTATAATCCTTTGGGTATATACCCAGTAATGGGATGGCTGGATCAAATGGTATTTCTAGTTCTAGATCCCTGAGGAATCGCCACACTGACTTCCACAATGGTTGAACTAGTTTACAGTCCCACCAACAGTGTAAAAGTGTTCCTATTTCTCCACATCCTCTCTAACACCTGTTGTTTCCTGACTTTTTAATGATTGCCATTCTAACTGGTGTGAGATGGTACCTCATTGTGGTTTTGATTTGCATTTCTCTGATGGCCAGTGATGATAAGCATTTTTTCATGTGTTTTTTGGCTGCATAAATGTCTTCTTTTGAGAAGTGTCTGTTCATATCCTTTGCCCACTTTTTGATGGGGTTGTTTGTTTTTTTCTTGTAAATTTGTTTGAGTTCATTGGAGATTCTGGATATTAGCCCTTTGTCAGATGAGTAGATTGCATAAATTTTCTCCCATTCTGTAGGTTGCCTGTTCACTCTGATGGTAGTTTCTTTTGCTGTGCAGAAGCTCTTTAGTTTAATGAGATCCCATTTGTCAATTTTGGCTTTTGTTGCCTGGGAGTTCACTCATGATTTGGTTCTGTTTGTTGTTGTTGGTGTATAAGACTTTTTTGAGATGGAGTCTTGCTCTGTCACTCATGCCGTAGTGCAGTGGTGCAATCTTGGCTCACTGCAGCCTCCACCTTCCAGGTGCAAGTGATTCTCCTGTCTTAGCCTCCCAAGTAGCTTGGACTGTAGGCGCTTGCCATGACGCCCAGCTAATTTTGTATTTTTATTAAAGACGAGGTTTCACCACGTTGGCAGGCTGGTCTCGAACTTCTGACCTCAAGTGATCCACCAGCCTTGGCCTCCCAAAGTGCTGAGATTACAGGCGTGAACAACCATGCCCAGCCCCCATATGACTTTTAAACTTTATGTTTCAGATTTTTTTCATGAATAATATATAGTTAAAATCTTTTAATTGGAGTATTTAGTATGTTTACATTATATTAATACATGTATGCATGTGTATTTAAATATATTTATTAAGTATTTCTTATATGTCTTACCTTTTCAAGTGATTAATTTTATTTCTTTCTTGCCTTGTTTTTATCATTATAATTAGAAATTTAATAATTTTAGTAATATTTTTCAAAGAACCAGCTTTTGGTTTTTCTTGCTTTTCGAATTCAATTTAGAGAACTATTCTACTTTTTTCTATGTTAGCGTGAATGTTATATTCCTTTACTATTAGTAAATATTATATCATGCATACTTGATATAAATATATACTGTTACTTTGTACTGCTATTATCGTTCTGGACAATAGAAGGACCTTTTAACTTTGGCTCCATTTATTACACTCCCAACTTGTATACCATTGCAACTTCAGTTTTAATTATGTTTATATTTTAAAGGCTAAAACACACTGTTAATATTGTTTTATATAGTCAATGTTTATTTAAATTTATGCATATATTTGCAATAGTTTGTTTTTTGTTCCTTCCTGCCTCTCTAATCTTCAATTTTTGGTTATTTTTATTTTTTCATTTTCTTTTATTGTATCCTGCAGGTGATAAATATTTTGTCTGGAAAATATCATTTCACACGTTTTCTTGAAGAATATTTCCACTGTGTCTAGAATTCTGCATTATTTCCTTTTGGTATGTTAAAGATATCATTCCCTTGTCATCTTTTCCTGGTGTTTTTATTGCAAAGTGAGTTGTAAAGCTATATGTTGTTCTTTTGAAAACACTCAGCTGAAAATTTAAGTTTGGCTCCTGTAAGATAATCTTTCATTTTTTTCTGGCTATTACAATTTTTATCTGTATTTTTGATTTTCAGTAGTTTTATCACAATATGCATAGATGTGAATTTCTTCTTTGTATCCCACTTTGGGATAAAATCCCACTTGAATCTATGATGTCATATCTTCCATTAGTTTTTAAATGTTTTTAGTTATTATCTTTTTAAATACTGCTTCTGTTCTATTTTCTCTCTTCTGCCTTCTGTGACTTCAATTATATAGGATAGATCCACTCATTGTATTCTGCATGTGTCTTTAACTCTTGTCTGCATTTTGTATAATTTTTCTCTTTTTGATTCAGTTTAGATTTTTTCGGACCCATTTCTTCTCAAACAATTCTCTTTTCATCTGTCTAAATCTACTAATCTTATTTTTAGTTTACGTATTTTTATATTATTGAAATTCCATTTGTTTTTAATAGTTTTCAGTTTTCTGCCAAAGTTTTCAATTTTTTCTTTTATTTTCTTGACATAGTAAGCTTAGATATGTAAAGTATGTGCCTGACAATTATTAAAAAGTCAAGAAACAACAGATGCTGGCGAGGCTGTGGAGAAATAGGAACACTTTTACACTGTTGGTGGGAATATAAATTAGGTCAACCATTGTAGAAAACAGTGTGGCAATTCCTCAAAGACCTAGAACCAGAAATATCATTGTACCCAAAGGAATATAAAACATTCTGTTATAAAGATACATGCAGGTTTATTGTGAAGCACTGTTCACCATAGCAAAGACACGTTATCAATCCAAATGCCCATCAATGATAGACTGGATACAGAAAATGTGGTACATATACACCATGGAATACTTTGTAGCCATAAAATGAAAGCAATTATGTCCTTTCAGGGACATGGATGGAGCTGGAAGCCATTATCCTCAGCAAACTAATGCAGGAACAGAAAACCCAACACTTCATGTTCTCACTTATAAGTGGGAGCTGAACAATGAGAACACATGGACACAGGGAGGGGAACAACACACACTGTGGCCTGTTGGGGGTGGAGTGAGGGGAGGGAGAGCATCCGGAAAAATAGCTAATGCATGTTGGGCTTAATACCTAGGTGATGGGTTGATAGGTGCAGCAAACCACCATGATACACATTTACCTATATGACAAACCTGCACATCCTGCACATGTATCTCAGAACTTAAAATAAAATATAAAGCATGTGCCTGAAGATCGTTAACATCTGGAGCCCCTGTGGGTTCGTTTCAGATTTTTTTTGTGTGTCATTTCTCTTGGTTTCGGTTCAAATTACATAATATCTTGCAGGCATATTGCCTTAATTTTGTGGGTTATTTTAAATTTTGTGCCAGATAACGTATTTGCAAAATTGTACAACTATCTTAATGACTAGGATGAAATTTTCTTTCTTCACAAAGGATTTCTGTTTGCTTTTCCTAAGCACATAGAATGTTATCAATCAGGATACTTTAATATGATTTTATAATCAGACATGCAGCAAGAACTTGAATATTTATAGGTTACTCAGATGATGGAATTTTCACAGAGACCCTCTTGATTGATTTTAGATTTCAGTATCAGTTCTGCCAGCCCACGAGTCTCTGTCAAAATTCTGCTTAGCCTCTCAACTATTCCATGAGAAGGGAATTGCTTTCCAGGGTCTCCATACCTGATTCTGAGCCAAGTAATCCCTCACTATTTCTATTAGCTTTCCAATGCTTTCAAAGAAATTAAAGAAATATTTTGTCTAGTTTTCTAGTTGATTCACTTAGCCCAAAAGTGCTAATGTAACATCATTGGAAGGAAAAGCCCCACTCATTGTTCTTCCATTTACTTTTTGAGCAGTTTGTAAAGTTCTTTGAAATTGCCTGTCAATATTTTGACAGAATTATATTAAATTCCTGAACTGATTTTTAGAGAGTTAACATTTTCATATTTAATCTTTCAATCCACTTACAAAATATCTCTCCATTTATTTGGGTCATTACTTACAACCCTCACAATAGTTAAAAAATATTCTAATGGTTTTTCTGCATCTATTAATATCATATTTTTTCTTTTTAAATCTGTTGATGTGGTAAATTACATTAATATTTGTTAAAAATGTTGGGCCATCCTTCCATTGCCTATGCATTGCTTAATCAGTTTGCTAATATTTTACTTAAAATTTTTTCTATTTGTCACATATACAACAACAATCTAAGTGAGATTAGCATGTAATTTTATTTCTTATACTGCTTTGTATGGCTTTACTTTCAAGGTTGTATTAGCTCCATAACATAATTAGGGAATATTCCCCACTTTTAAATTCTTTGCTAGAAATTTTAAATATTGAAATTATCCATTTCTTGATTTTCTGATCTAATTCACCTATAAAACATTCTGAGAATATTAGTTTGCATGTATGTGGTGGGGAAGAGGTGGAGTAGGGTAGGAATAGTATTTCAGCTATAAATTTAACTTCTTTTATGTTTTAGTGAGTTACATTTTTTAAAATTTTCTGTTTTGTGAAAGCTTTCAAATAAGCTGGCATAATGTTGTTCATAGTATTCTTTGTTTTTTCTCTCTGTAGTCAAGTCCCTTTTTCATTTCTAATATTATTTAGTTAGAATTTTCTTTTTCTTGATTAATTGTGTCATGGGTTATTTTTTAGTTTTTATCAGTTGTTTTAAAGAGCCAGCCTTTAGTGTTGTTGATTATTGTATCACTCTTTAAATATTATCTCATAGAATTCTTGGTATTTTAACTTTTTATTCTTTATAGTTTCAAAAAAAGTCTAACGGGCACTTAAACATCATTTGCTTTCTCACTTAGTTGCTTTGATTTTGAAACCCACATGCACTTTTAGAATGGTCCTCAGACTTGGTGTTTAAAGCCCACAGTGTAAATCATGACTTTTATTAATATTCCAATTGCTCTCTCTTTTAGCTCCTAAATGCAGTATTTCTCAAAGTATGGTTCCTGGACAGTCTATCAGAATCATCAGGAGCACTTGTTACAAATTTAGTTTGTCTCTGCCCTAGACCTATATCAGAATCTGTTGGTGGAGTCTGTGAGGTCAACCTTGAGTTCATTTCCACAGGTGGTTTTTGTGGACACAATGCAGTTTAGAACATCAGATCTCCTCATATTTTTATTCTAGTTCTCAATTCTTTCCTTATGAGGGAATAGAGAGGAACCTTTACAATTCTTTGAGAGCACAAAACTCAATCACAAGTTTTCATTTGCATCTCTCAGATCAAGTAGAAGAATGGCCTCCTCAAATAGCAGATTTTTATTCAGCCAAAATTCATAATGTGGACCATTAAATCTATTTTACATGCATCTGTAATTAATTAATATGTCTTTTCCACATTAGAATGATTTTTGAGATCTTTTTGGACAGAAAAAAATGCCCACTTAAAAAATTACTTATTATAAAAAAATTCGACTTAAGTAATTTGAAAGTGTAATACAATAAACTACTGTATACTTTTCCCTTAGCTTATCAATTTTTATAATTTTTCTTCTTTTGCTTTATTGTTTTCCCTTTCCACACACACATATTATTATTACTGTTATGTTTTTGCTAAACAACTTTAGAATATGTTTCAGATGTCATTTCCCTTCATCTTTAAAAACTTCCACCTGTCCTCAGGAATGACGAAGTTCTTTTACATAAACACAGTAAAAATGATCAAATTCAGGAAATTTAATTTTGAAGCAGTGCTAATGTTTAACATAGTCACATTTATTAGTTACACAAATAATATCTTAATTTCCCAAATTCAAGATCCAGTTCAGGATCTCACATTGCATTCAGTGATTAGATCTCCTCAGCCTCTTTTAATCTGATTCAGGACTCAGATTTTCTTTGTCTCTTTGTCACAACACTTATTATTTTCTTTCTTAAGGATGAAGGCCAGTTATTCTGTAAAATGTTCTTCAGTTGAGGTTTGTCTGATTGCTTCCTCATGATTAAGTTATGCATTTTTGTCAGTGATAGGACACAAGTGATGTTATGTCCCTCTCGTGTATTTCATCAAGGGCAAATAGTGTCAGTTTGCTCCATTTTGGTGATGTTAATTTTGATTGCTTGGGTTTACATGGTGTTCATTAATTTTTCCACTGTATAGTTATGATTTTCCCTTTTCAATATAATAACTGATCTGTGGAGAGTTAATCTAAGACTGTGTAGTATTCTATTTCCCATCAAGCTTTCACTCAGTGGCTTTAGCATCTATTTGTGGTTCTTGTCTGAATCAACTATTGCTATGATGTTTGTAAAATAATGTTTTCTAACTACATGAGTTTTTCTACACCTGTTAGTTGGCATTTTATTATAAAGAAGTTTCCCTTATACCATCTTAAGTAATTATTATAGCAATATGGTCTTAGGTATTTTTTCTAATTAAATTGGTTATAATTAATTATGATCACTATTCACTTTTATGCTCAAATTATCCCACATTTGGCCAATGGGAGCTCCTTTGAGCTAGCTCTTTTTTTATGTTTCCATAGTTTTTCAGGACTTTCTTACTTTTTGGCACAAAAAGATACTTTTGGAATGTCATGTTCTAAGGAATCTTGATTCTTTTCAGTAGGGAATGATATTTAGAAACCAAGATCTGGATACCAGATATGCTCATGGCTATTGCAATATCATTTTTAGATCAACCCCTGCCCTTTTTTTATTTTTTGCAGAGAGGGCTAGGATATATATCTCTCTTTTTATTTCTGCTTCTTTCTCTGTTTCTTTCTCTCTCTCTCTCATCTTGATACTTTGAATTCCAATCCAACAGTACAAGCTTATTCACTACCTTTACATATTACTTATTTGTATAATATGTCTTTTCTCCCACACTCAAAGCCCTGACTCCACAAAATATCAATTTATTTATTCTATTTACTCAATTGCTTAATTATACAATATAGATTAAGCAATCTTAGAAGACTTCTTCCTTACCTCCACTGACATCAAATTTACTAAGTAGATTTCAATATTTTTTTAATCATTCTTTTTGTTTTTTAGACTGAGAGGATACAGGCGAATTTATTTGCTCAAATGTTATTGGGACTTTTTTTTTCTTCTACTTTGGTGTGGTTGTTATTCATCTAAGTAGAACTGGTATTAATTTTTGAATGAATAAAGTTTACATTTGTTTTTTGATACTTTGTTATTCTTATTGATTTAAATATATTTTTGAATATATAAAACACCAGTATAGTTCCAAATATCAACACTATACCAAAAGAACTACTCATAAAAGTTACACCTTTCTTTTCATCGCTTTTACCTTGTTCTTGACATCCTCTCTTACTTGCTGCCCACACACACTACTGACCAATTTGTTTTTGTTTTTGTTTCTCTTTCCTTTTATTTTTGAAAAATGAGTGTGTGTGTGCGTGTATGTATAAAATTTCCCCCACCTTTCTTATACAAAAGACAGCACATCTCATATACTTTATATCCTTTTATTTGCTATATGTCCTTCCCCCACTCAACAATATAGCTAGCAAATCACTTCCCATAAGCTCATAGAAATCATACTCTTTTTGCATTGTGTAGTTTTATCATAGTCTATTTAATAATCTCTCTATATAGACATTTAGCTTATTTCCACGTTTCAAAATTACAGAAAAGGATACAATGAATAACTTTTTAGATACATAGTTTTGCAATGTTGGAGGTGTGTCTTCTAGTTAACTTCCTAGAAGTCTAATTGCTGAATTATAAGGTAAATGCATATGCAGTTTTCATGAATATCATGAAACTTCCCTTCCCACATTGTACCATTCTGCATTCCCACTAGCAATATATTAGAATGTCCATTTCCCCATAGCTTCATCAACAAAGTATATTCAAGATTTTGAATGTTTCCCAATCTGACAGGTGAGAAATATCAGCATAGTTTTAATTTTCCTTTCTTTAAAAAATATGTGAGGTGGAACATCTTTTCATATGTCTATGAGCCATTTCTATATTTTTTGTGTGAATTGTTTACTTGTGTATTTCGGCCACTTTTCCATCAGGTGCTGGGTCTTTCCCTGGATTGTAAGGGTTCTGTGTTTATTAGGGACAGTAGCTTCTTTTTCCATTTTATATATTACAAATATATATTTTCCCTGTTTCTTATTTGCCTTTTGATTTTGCTTATGTTATTTCATTAAAATTTTATGTATTAAAATTTATCATTGTTTACCTTTATGGACTCTGGATTTTAAGTCATAAGTTAGCTTTTCCCCACCTGCTTTCTTTTAGTATATGTATAGTTTCATTATATATATTTACATCTCTTATCCATTGGAGTTTATTTTTGTGTATGGTGTGAGATAATAGATCCTACTTTATCTTTTTTCAAATAGATATTTTGTAGTACCAAAATAATTTATAAAAAGTTTTTTATTTCCATGACTTGAGATGTTACTTATATTATGTAGTAAATGTATTTGAGCCTATTTTTGAACTTTCTATTCTGTTTTCTTGTCTAATTATTCATGTGCTAGGGCCTTACTGTTTAATTTATGATATATTTAGTATCTCATATGTCTACTTCCTCTGATAGCTCTATTTTTAATTATTTTTGTAGTTATTCTTGCATGTCTATTCTTGCATATTTTATTTTGAATATGAACTTTTGTATAGACTTGTAAAAATATTGTTCATATTTTTATTGGTATTGCTTTGCATTCACGATTGACTTAAGGCCACCTCGATTTTTAATTATTGTGAAATTTCTGGTATCTGACGTTTCCAGACATAAAACAGACATCTGACAAAAATCTATGGTTTGAACAAATGAATGAATAAATGAGCACTTTTGTGGTTGATGGCTTTTATAACTTGACTCAAAAGGACATGTCTTTACATATATTTTTTCAATCAAAAGTTTAAAAAGTTTGTTGGGATAGTTTCAGTATAAATGGTACTGGCTCTTCTTTGTACCTCTGGTAGATTCAGCTGTAAATCTTTCTGGTCCTGAGCTGTTTTTTTTTTTTTTTTTTTTTTTGGTGGTTAGGCTAATTATTACTGCCTTAATTTCAGAATGCATTATTGACTTATTCACAGATTCAATTTCTTTCTGGTTCAGTCTTGGGAAGGTGTATGTATGTAGGAATTTATCCATTTCTTCTAGATTTTCTAGTTTATATGCATAGAGGTGTTTATAGTATTCTCTGAGGGTTGTTTGTATTTCTGTGGGGTAAGTGGTGATAACTCCCTTATCATTTTTGATTGTGTTTGATTCTTCTCTCTTTTCTTCTTTATTAGCCTAGCTAGCAGTCTATCTATTTTATTAAGTTTTTCAAAAAACCAGCTCCTGGATTCATTCGTTTTTGAAGAGTTTTTCCTGTCTCTATCGCCTTCAGTTCAGTTCTGATCTTGGTTATTTTTTGTCTTCTGCTAGCTTTGGGGTTTGTTTGGGGTTTGATTCTCTAGTTCTTTTAGTTGAATTGTTAGGGTGTTGATTTGGGATCTTCCTAGCTTTTTGATGTGGACATAAATTTACCTGTTAACACTATTTTAGCTGTATCCCAGAGATTCTGGTACATTGTAGCTTTGTTCTCATTAGTTTCAAAGAACGTCTTGATTTCTACCTTAATTTTATTATTTACCCAGGAGCCATTCAGGATCAGGTTGTTCAATTTCCATGTAGTTGTGTGATTTTGAGTGAATTTCTTAATCTTGAGTTCTAATTGGATTGTGCTGTGGTCTGAGAGACTGCTTCTTATGATTTCAGTTCCTTTGCATTTGCTGAGGAGTGTTTTCTGATTATGTGATCAATTTTAGAGGACTCTAACTCATTCTATGAGGCCAGCATCATCCTGATACCAAAACCTGGAAGAGATACAACAAAAAAAGAAAACTTCAGGCCAATATCCTTGATGAACATTGATGTGAATATCCTTAATAAAATACTGGCAAACCAAATCCAGCAGCACATCAAAAAGCTTAGCCACCATGATAGAGTTGGCTTCATCCCTGGGATGCAAGTTTGGTTCAGCATATGCAAATCAATAAATGTAATTCCTCACATAAACAGAACTGAAGACAAAAACCATGTGATTATCTCAATAGCTGTAGAAAAGGTCTTTGGTAAAATTCAACATCCCTTCATGTTAAAAACTTTCAATAAACAAGGTATTGGAGGAACATACCTGAAAACAATAAGAGCCATATATTACAAACCCACAGCCAACATCATACTGAATGGTCAAAAGCTGGAATCATTCCCCTTGAAAACTGGCATAAGACAAAGATTTCTTCTCTCACCACTCCTATTCAATATAGTATTGAACTTTCTGGCCAAGAAAATCAGTGAAGAGAAATAAATAAAGAGTATTGAAATAGGAAGTCAAGCCATCCTTTTTTGCAGAAGACATGATCCTATATCTACAAAAACCCCATAATCTCAGCCCAAATGCTTCTTAAGCTGATAAGCACATTCAGCAAAGTCTGATACAAAATCAATGTGAAAAATTCTCTACCATTCCTATATACCAACAACAGGCAAGCATAGAGCCAAATTATGAATGAATGAACTATTCACAATTGCTACAAAAAGAATAAAACACCTAGGAATACAGCTAACAAAGGAAGTGAAGGACCTCTTCAAGGAGAACTACAAACCACTGCTCAAAGAAACCAGAGAGGACACAAACAAATGGAAAAATGTTACATGCTCATGGATGGGAAGAAACAATATTGTGAAAATGACCATACTGCCCAAAGTAACTTATAGATTCAATGCTATTCCCATGAACCTACCATTGACATTCTTCACAGAACTAGAAAAACTATTTCAAAATTCTTACACAACCAAAAAAGAGCCTGAATAGCCAAAACAGTCCTAAGCAAAAAGTACGAAGCTGGAGGCATCACGCTACCCAACTTCAAACCATATTGCAAGGCTACTTTAACCAAAACAGCATGGTACTGGTACAAGAACAGACACACAGACCAATGGAAAAGAATAGAGAACTCAGAAATAAGACTACACACCTACAACCATCTCATCTTTCACAAACCTGATAAAAACAAACAATGGGGAAAAGATTTCGTATTTAATAAATAGTTCTGGGAGAACTGGCTAGCCATATGCAGAAAATTGAAACTGGACCCCTTCCTTACACCATATACAAAAATTAACTCAAGATGGATTAAAGACTTAAATATAAAACCTAAAACTATAAAAACCCTAGAAGAAACTCTAAGCAATACCATTCAGGACATAGGCACAGGTAAAGATTTCATGATGAAAATGACAAAAGCAATGGCAACAAAAGCCAAAATTGACAAATGGGATCTAATTAAACTAAAAAGCTTCTGCACAGCAAAGGAAACTATCATCAGGGTGAATAGCCAACTTATAGAATGGGAGAAAAATTTTGCAATCTATCCAATCTGACAAAGGCCTAATATCCAGAGTTTACAAGGAACTTAAATAATACAACAAAAAAACAGCCACATTAAAGAGTGGGCAAAGGACATAAACAGACACTTCTCAAAAGAAGACATACATGCAGCCAACAAACATATGAATAAAAGCTCAGCATCACTGATGATTAGAGAAATGCAAATCAAAACCACAAGGAGATACTATCTCACTTCAGGCAGAATGGCCATTATTAAAAAGTCAAAAAACAACAAATGCTGGTGAATTTGTAGAGAAAAAGAGACACTTTTACACTGTTGATGGGAGTGTAAATTAGTTCAACCTTTGTGGAAGACAGTGTAGCAATTCCTCAAAGACCTAGAGGCAGAAACACCATTTTACCCAGCAATCCTATTTCTAGGTATATACCCAAAGGAATAGAAATCATTCTATTATAAAGATACATGCACACGTATGTTCATTGCAACACTATTCACAATAGCAAAGATGTGGAATCCACCTAAATGCCCATCAATGATAGACTGGATAAAGAAAATGTGGTACATATACACCATGGAACACTATGCAGCCATAAAAAGGAATGATATCACGTCCTTTGCAGGGACATGGATGGAGCTGGAAGCCATTATCCTCAGCAAACTAACACAGGAACAGAAAACCCAACACTGCATGTTCTCACTTATAAATGGGAGCTGAACAATGAGAATACATGGACACTGGGATGGGAGGGGAACAACACACACTGGGGCCTGTCGGAGCAGGGGTTGTGGGGAGGGAGAGCATCAGGAAGAATAGCTAAAGGATGCTGAGCTTAATACCTAGATGATGGGATGATCTGTTCAGCAAACCTGTGTATGTTTACCTATGTAACAAACCTGCACATCCTGCACATCTCCCTGAACTTAAAAGTTGAAGAAAAAAAAGTTTAAAAAGTACATTCTCATAAACAATCAATCACAATATTAACAAATGTATTTTTATCTTAAAAAGGTCTTCATAGAGAATTACTAAAAAAAAAGAAAACAAACTAACTCCTGTGATGACTTTGAATGTATTAACAAAGGCATCCTTTCCTCAAAACCTTTGCTATCATTTGATGGAAAATTATCATAATATTCTACTTTTTTAATAGGATAACTTTATTATTTAAATACATATAGAAATATGTGAGATCTGTCATGTGAATAGTTCCCTTAGGTTTGTGCTGTGTACTACATGCACAATTGAACAGGGCTGTCTTATGGAATAATGTTTAAAACAGATTTGAGGTAGGCTAATGACATGAGCAATAATAAAAGTGTTGTCATTGTTAATACACTAGATAAAGAAAATGTGGTACATATACACCATGAAATACTATGCAGCCATAAAAAGAAATGAGATCATGTCCTTTGCAAGAACCTGGATGGAATTGGAAGCCGTTATCCTTAGCAAACTAATGCAGGAACAGAAAACCAAATGCTGCCTGGTCTCACTTATAAGTGGGAGATGAATGATGAGAATGTGTGGACACATGGCAGGGAACAACACACTCTGGGGCCTGTCAGAGGGTGGGAGTTGCAGGGAGGGAGAGTATCAGGAAAAATAGCTAATGGATGCTGAGCTTAGTACCTAGGCGATGGAATGATTTGTACAGCAAACTGCCATGGCACACATTTACCTATGGAACAAACCTGCACATCCTGCCCATGTACCCCTGAACTTAAAATAAAATTTGGAAATAAAAAAACTTAAATTAAAATTTAAAAATGTTTCATTGTCATGTGAAGATGATAAGCCTAATCACTAAGAGTAGGTCAATTGTTCAGAAGTTTCTATTTAAGGTTTTCAACTATCTTATATGTACTTTCTCTTTTGGAGAAGGTTTATTTATATCCTCTTCTGTGCATGCACACAGGCATACAATTCCTTTCATCGTAAGAAATCCCAGTAAGCTTTTCAATTTCTTTGTGCCTCTTTCACTGCTGAAATGCAGCTGCCTCAGCTATGGAAGATAGCAGCCAACTGGCACATAACAGGAAGTACAACAGTTGGCTGAAAGGAAATTTTGCTAATGACACCAACAATGTGAGTCAATTTTCTTGTGAAAAACTGCACGATTAAATTTTTGATGGAGAAATGGCAAACTTTCAATCATGACTTAACATATGTATTAGTCTTTCTTATATATATTTTACTACCAATATTACTTTTTTGCGCAGAAGGGAATAGGGGAAACAACCCACCAAGAAAAGGTAAAACCTATAAGCATTGACTGCCAAACCTTTTTGTTCATGTGTATGAATATAAGCTATTGTCATTTGCTGTGTCAGGTGACCGATTAAGAATCTCCCTGTATTTACAGAAAGTTTTCCTTACTCTTTATTCTGGGTAGAGTTAACAGTTATGAGGTTTGGGAGCCAATGACTAATATAGCTACCAAAGCATGTTTCTTGCTTGCATCATAAACTCTATGGAAGATTTAAGGAATCGTAATATAGATGTGCTCACTGTCCTTTGTTTGGATAAGCTCCTATGAGCTTTCATAAGGCACCTAACTCAGCAGGAGGCTGTCTAGTGCAGCGGATGGGGGCAACAAGTTTGTTGTCAGATAGACCTGGTTCATGTCTTGGCTCTGCTGAATTATTTTTACAAGTTAACCCCTCTAAGTGTTAATTTTCTCATTAATACAATGGGATGTAGATGTAATAAGAACAATACACCTGTCATGAAAATATTTTGAGGATTAGAATAGGGAATGATTAGCATTTCTGCTACCTATTATATTCCTTAAGTAAGATAAATCAGGAAAATTTTCCCATTTAGTTGTTACAAATGTAAACCGGCCAGACAAGGTTGAGAAAGTTAATGCAGTAATACATTTGTTCTAAGTCTATATGTCATCTCAATTCTGCAGAGGAAACGAGAGTCTAAAATGTAAAATTCAGTTAATTAACTGCCTAGAGACAATGGGTCACCATAGATTTTCAAGATATGTTAGGAGAGTCACTATGGTGCCTTCTAAATGGGAGCCAAAGATCCTCTTGTAAAAACGTCTTGCAGGATCTTTATGGGACAGAAAAAAAGCATTGTGCAAGTTTGAAGGTGTTAAGAGTCAGTAAAAATTATGGCAAAAATATCCACTGTTGATAAATCTATATTCCTCAGAGAAAATTTCTGTAATAATAGAAGTATTCCATTTCTGTGCTAATACGGTAGCCACTAGCCACATGTGACTATTGAGCACTTTATATGTGTCTAGCATCATGGAGAACTAAGTTTTTAATATTATTTAATGTTAGTTACCTTAAGTAGCCACAGGTGACTAGTAGCTACCACATTGGAGAGCACAGCTTTGCAGCACCTAGGTTATAATTGGAGGTGTAAATTATTCTAGAAGAATAATTCAACAATTTTTAAAGATCAGTAGTATGCAGTGAACCAAAGATGACTTTCTGTTAGGCAGTGTTAGTATATATTTGCAGCATATTTCTTGAGACATGGCTTGCCAGCACTGAATAAGTATAGCTCTGTCAATTTGTAGTTTAGATGCCCTGTAGTTCAACAGGCCTGAACACTCACCTGACTAGGGCAGCTTGGCTGTGAAACCTTCATTCTCCCCACCCCCACCTCCAAGAGCTGTTATAAACACTGGAAAAAAATTGTGGACCATCTGTAGCTGCAGATGGGGATTTGTGGACGGTGTACAAGTTGCAGTCATGGAATCAGCAGAGATGCCCAAAATATGTCATCCAAATTGACCAGTCAGAATGGTGAGGAGAGCATTATCTTGTGCAGATACTGCGTCTCACAACCATGGTGAATGGGCCCCTCATGGGATCACAGGCTCATTGTCTTTCCTCATTCTCTGATAATACTACTGTTTTAACTTACAGCAGGCTGGACTTAGAGACTCAGGGACTGTTTGGCTGCACGACTATGTGAAGCACTAGAAAATGCATTGCCATCGTCATTCTCTACCGTTTGATTTTTACTGTACAGCATAGGTTCTGAGAAAGTAATATTTTGACTTATTTGAAAAGATGAGTACTGTGGATAAATGGATTCTGTTGATTTGGTGAAGTAAATTTATTTTTTTATTCATCATCCTTGAGTTTTTGTGCATTTTCTAGCATACATAATCTTGCCATATCAAACTTAAAATCACATTGAGGTTGATAGAGTAACCTGAATTTGCTGAGAAGGCTACAATTAAATAAGCAGTTAATAGTTTCAGACCATAAGGACCATTTAAGGAAACTCAGTTTATTATGAGGCCAACAGCCCCTTTCTCTCAGTTCTAGAATTTTTTAATTTCTAAGATGGCTTGGTTTGATAGGTTCAAATATTGCACTTGTTTAATATGCATTGCAATAATATTGCAACACAGGCCAGTCTGAGCCCATGAGTCAGGTAGATTGATCCCACACAGAATACCAGTGTGGAAAAAGAAGCCCAGAGCACCATTGGTCTAAGGTTTTATTTGAGAACACTGGGCTTGAGGAAACTCTGAAGGAGTATTTTAACTTAGAGAAAGATGTGGGATGTTAGCAGGATGAGGCCAGTAGAAGTTGAGCCAGTTTCTGGAAGACTTGGTTAAGGATGATTCTTAAAGGAGGTAAAAATTGTTCTGTGAATGAACAACCATTATTGGGCAATTTGAATCTTTTAAGAGGGCTGGAAAAGAACAGAGACTAAGCCTATGTGTGAGAAGGGTAGGGAGAAACAGCTTGAGGGGACAAGGATATGCAAGGGCCACTGTGGAAAATTAGTTGTCTTTTGTGTCTTACACTAATGTATACAATTAAACAGTTTAATAGTGTTCTTTCAAGAAAGCAAAGTTAGGTTAATGAAGTACAGTTCCATGAGCTTTTGTGGACTGAAGGCATGTATATTCTCAGGTAAGTTCTGAACCAAGCATTTTAGGGCACAGTGGTTGCAGCCATCCTAGGTGGGAGAACTTACTCCCCACTTCTCTTGTCTCTAGGGAAGAACTTGATCAGATAAGCCCTACCAGCCTCTCTCTGCCCCTGGAGCAGGAGGAGAGCCTGGCCTGATGGTTAAGTTGGGAGGAGAAGTGAGCAGTGTGGCCCACTCCCTCTTAGGCCCACATAGAGAATGCAGCCCAGCCAGCTTTCCTACTCGGCGTGAACTTGGCAGCACAGCTTTGAGCTGTGCTGGTCCAGGTGCAGGTGCCCAGGTGCCTGAGTCGAATTCAGGGGAGTGTCAGCCAGCCTTGTGGCTGCAGACCTCACCCAGGTTTTCCAGTCCAACTTTATCACTAACACAATTGACATTTTGATCTCCATCTGTCTGAATTTTGTATGATTTTTTTCTATTAGTTGTAAATTCAGAAGGGGGACAGGGTGATTTCATTACTGACCTACCAAATCTCAACAGGCCTAAGAACTATTATAATAAATCTTAATTATGTAGCTAATACTACTGTTGGTACATGGAGACACACATTTTATGGGTGTGATCTGTGCAACTTTTAAAATTTCAAACTAAATAGTAATAATCATAATAATAATTACTGTTAGTAATTAAACACTTATTATGTGCCAGGTTATGACCTAAGCACTTTATGTACATTGTCTCAGTTCCTACCATAAATCTACTAGATATATACGATAATCCTGTTTTTTTCAGGTAAAAAGGAAGAGTTTTAGACAGGTTGAGTGGCTTGTTCAGGGTCACACTGTTAATAAGTAGCCATAAATACCCTACAGTTTCTCATACACTTGACCTGTGCATCTGTCTTTTTAGGCTGGGCTGACCCACACTGTCAGTGTTCCCTGGTGACTTATAAAAATGAAGGCTCCAGGACACTGCCTTACAACAGCATCCAACTTCCTTTTGATTCCTTTGCACTTGCTTCCCTTCTTCTCTGGTTTCCTACCTGGACTTGGATAGATGTCTCTCATCCCACTCTGTTTTGATGATCCTCTGAACTCTGCATATTTCTTTTTACACTTTAGCTTTGCTATGCAGCATTTTACCTTGCTTATTTCCTTGGCTTTGTAGTCCAAGTTACCTTGGTTATAAATATCAGCTACTGTCCTAATATGTTTTGTGCAGCTATAATAGAGCATCTGAGACTGGGTAATTTATAAAAAAAACAGAAACTTACTGGCTCACAGTTTGTTTTTGAGGCTGGGAAGTCCAGTGTCAAGGTGATGGCATCTGGTGAGTGAGGGTCTTCTTTCACTGTCATCCCATGGAAGAAGATAACACATGGCAGAAGGGCAAAGAGAGAGAGAGAGAGAGAGATGGACAGGCAGACCGGCAGACAGACAAAATGGGCTGAGCTTGTCTTTTATAAGGAACTCTCTCCTGCAGTAATGAACCCACTCCCTTGACAATGGCATTAGTGCATTCACTGTGCCCTGATGGCCTACTCACCTCTTTTTAGGTGTCATCTCTCAGTGCTGTTGCATGTGGGATTAGGCTTCTAACATGTTTTGGGGGACACACTCAAACCATAGCAGCTGCAATTTTGGATCCTCAGAACTTAATCTCTCTCTCTTTCTTCCTAGGAGAGAAATGCAATTCAAAGGTTTGTAGACAGTAAATTCACATATGCAGTGTTCAAAGTAACTATGTGATTCTCTAGTCAGAGAATAATTACTCCTCTGAGATGGCCTTTTGAAATTTGCTTTATTTACAAAGCAATAACTTTTTGTCTTTTGGAGAAAAAGGCCTAGCAGATGATCGTACACTGCTGTTGGTGCATAGGTCGGAGTAGTCAAGGTGAGGCTAGGATATCTGTACCCAGAGTTAAATCAGGGAGAATGTGGAGGGCACCAAAAACGAGTCAGGATGTAAGCACATTAGTCACTGTGTTGGTGAGTCCCACATAGAAATCAGTTTCACATGGGTAAACATCAGGACAAAGCTTGGGAAAGTGTGCAGTTAAAGACAGCAGATATACATGAAGAGGAAGATTTTGAAAGGGGGAAGAGTCTCAAGAGCTCTTTTGAAATCTGGGACCTATTCTGTCTTGAAGGCACAGCCCTCTCAATATGCAGTCTGACAACCATCTCCTAGCTATCAGGACTCACTGTTAATTTTAATCCATTTTGCTCATCTAAGCAATCAATAAATATTTCTTGAGTGTTTATTGTGTACACAGCATGAGCATAGATTAGAGAATATAATAATGAACAAACTTTACATGTTAGTGCCAAAAACATCAGGAGATTAGCCGTCAAAATACAATGTGCTTTTTATAGTGCCCAGTAGGAATACCAAGGATGGAGGGACATCTCACCAGCTGTCCTTGAGAAGTCAGGGAAAGCTTCCTGCAGACAATGATGTCTAATCTTAGATTTGAAGGATGAGTAGGGGTCAGCAAAATTTTGGGAGAGGAGTAGGAGTATTCCAGGTAAAATGCTTGTGAGCTCAAAGGTAACAGAGACCAAGGTAAGCATTTTTTCATGTGTTTTTTGGCTGCATAAATGTCTTCTTTTGAGAAGTGTCTGTTCATGTCCTTTGCCCACTTTTTGATGGGGTTGTTTGTTTTTTTCTTGTAAATTTGTTTGAGTTCATTGTAGATTCTGGATATTAGCCCTTTGTCAGATGAGTAGGTTGCGAAAATTTTCTGCCATTTTGTAGGTTGCCTGTTCACTCTGATGGTAGTTTCTTTTGCTGTGCAGAAGCTCTTTAGTTTAATTAGATCCCATTTGTCAATTTTGTCTTTTGTTGCCATTGCTTTTGGTGTTTTAGACATGAAGTCCTTGCCCTTGCCTATGTCCTGAATGGTAATGCCTAGGTTTTCTTCTAGGGTTTTTATGGTTTTAGGTCTAGCGTTTAAGTCTTTAATCCATCTTGAATTGATTTTTGTATAAGGTGTAAGGAAGGGATCCAGTTTCAGCTTTCTACATATGGCTAGCCAGTTTTCCCAGCACCATTTATTAAATAGGGAATCCTTTCCCCATTGCTTGTTTTTTTCAGGTTTGTCAAAGACCAGATAGTTGTAGATATGCGGCGTTATTTCTGAGGTCTCTGTTCTGTTCCATTGATCTATATCTCTGTTTTGGTACCAGTACCATGCTGTTTTGGTTACTGTAACCTTGTAGTATAGTTTGAAGTCAGGTAGCGTGATGCCTCCAGCTTTGTTCTTTTGGCTTAAGATTGACTTGGCGATGCAGGCTCTTTTTTGGTTCCATATGAACTTTAAAGTATTTTTTTCCAATTCTGTGAAGAAAGTCATTGGTAGCTTGATGGGGATGGCATTGAATCTGTAAATTACCTTGGCCATCAGAGAAATGCAAATCAAAACCACAATGAGGTACCATCTCACACCAGTTAGAATGGCGATCATTAAAAAGTCACGAAACAACAAGTGCTGGAGAGGATGTGGAGAAATAGGAACACTTTTACACTGTTGGTGGGACTGTAAACTAGTTCAACCACTGTGGAAGTCAGTGTGACGATTCCTCAGGGATCTAGAACTAGAAATACCATTTGACCCAGCCATCCCATTACTGGGTATATACCCAAAGGACTATAAATCATGCTGCTTTAAAGACACATGCACACGTATGTTTATTGCGGCATTATTCACAATAGCAAAGACTTGGAACCAAGCTAAATGTCCAACAATGATAGACTGGATTAAGAAAATGTGGCACATATACACCATGGAATACTATGCAGCCATAAAAAATGATGAGTTCATGTCCTTTGTAGGGACATGGATGAAATTGGAAATCATCATTCTCAGCAAACTATCACAAGGACAAAAAACCAAACACCGCATATTCTCACTCATAGGTGAGAATTGAACAATGAGAACACATGGACACAGGAAGGGGAACATCACACTCTGGGGACTGTTGTGGGGTGGGGGTAGTGGGAAGGGATAGTATTGGGAGATATACCTAATGCTAGATGACGAGTTAGTGGGTGCAGCACACCAGCATGGCACAGGTATACATATGTAACTAACCTGCACATTTTGCACATTTACCCTAAAACTTAAAGTATAATAATAAAAAATAAAAATAAAAATAAAAAAAGAGACCAAGGTAGATTAAAGTTACTGAAGGCCGTTCAGTGTGGCCTTATCCTAGAGTGATATGGAGAATATGAGGGATTTAATATGAAGAGGAAAGCAGGAGTCAGGTCATCTAGGGTTTGTAATGCATGTTAAGGGTTTTGGAAGCCACTGAAGGATTTTGAATAGGAGAATGACCTGGTCAGCTTTTTGTTTTAGGGAGATTGCTGGGGCTGCTTAGTAGAGAACAGAAGAACAGAGTGGAAAAACTACAGGTTTGGAGGCTGGAAAACCAGTGATAAGGTTGTGGATTAATCAAGATGAGATGTGACAGTGCACTGAATTAGAGTACTAGCTTCATGAAGAGAGAAGTGGATGGACTATTTGGAAGATAAGATCTGCAGAATTCCACTGTTCACTGGATGTGAGCATTAAGGGCCAAAGGCAAATGAAGTGTTAAGAATGACTTTTAGGGTGGTGATTGGGCACCTGGTCTCCTGAAATAGAGACTATGGGAGGAGCATCAGATTTCTGGGGGAATCTCGTGACTGGGTTTTGACTGGCATGTGCTGAGTGTGAGGTACTCATGAGATCAGCAAATGGACCTGTCCAGTAAGCAGCTGGATATGACGGGAGAGGGACTTGTGCAGTCCGCAGCATGCAGGTGGCAGTTGAAGCCATGGGAGAGGATATGATAGAGAACGAATGTATACAGAGAGACAAGGTAATTTTTAGTCTCCTTAGTAATGGAAAGTAATATTTACTCTTTGATTAAAGCTTTAATGTTTTCTGTGTTTTAACATGAACAAAAGATTTCTAATCTCACTATCAGTTCATGCATTTTCAAAAAGATCAGTGGATTAGTCAGCTTCCTTTATTGCCTAGGGATAGTTGAGGTGGTGTTTTTCATTTAAATACATTGAACATTCTCATTCCAACAGGCAAGACTCCTTTCAAATATGAGACAAACTAAAAACTGATATGAATAAATGTTATGTTTTATTATGATAAGACAATGATTATTAAGTATGTATTGATTCCACCATGGGTTCTTGTGTAATAGTACTTAATCATAAAGCATGCTTCTTGCCCTTTTGGCTATCAATCTTAAATAGGCACATCTGCCATGGAAACTGACAATGAAGATTTATCAACAAGCAGATAGAAAGGCATATAGCAGGGCCATATTTCTCTCTACGTATGCTCCCAACCTCTGAAAGGCCAGCCTTGCCCCAACGTTCAAATGTGTTTCTGAACAACAGACAGCATCACATGCAGTATTCTGGTAAATGTTAAACAACTGGCTCTCTGAGAGAACAAAACAAAATGTTAAACAAGTCTTTATTTGTAGCATTTGCCAATTTCAGTGGTATCACTATTTCCACATTGGCCAATTTCAAGCTTCCAGTCTGACTTCATTGACCACAGAGCTGGGAAAAGATGTTTAGCCAGCTTCAACCATGCACAATGGTATCTTGTAAGAGAGGTTAGACTTTGTTATATTTTTGACCAAAAAAAAAATTTTGCCATATTTGCTACCAGATATGTTGGCAGTGGTCCCAGACAGGAGGAAGGTACTTCTAAGAAAGAACTGCATTCAAGGAGGACACCAGTTGTGGAAGGAGGAAAGGTTGAAAAAGGGGAGATTAATTATAGGCATTGAGAGGCAGCGGGGATAGATACTATTATCCTTTTCCTTAATTTTTTTCATAGTGCCTTGCATTGCACGAGCGGGCGGGCGTTGATGTTTCTCAACAGACTGGCCCTTGCCTGCCACTGCTTGGTGAACTGGCTGAGCATAAGGCGGCTGGCCGGGCTGCTGTGCTGCACAGGTGCTGCTGCTGCTGTCGAGACCCACTCTCTGGGTGCTCCATGTAGTGCTGGAACCTGGGGCGTTTTGTCCAACTGCTCTTTGGTAACAAGTGTCCAGACCTCAAAAATCAGTGTCAGTGTTTGGCATCTTCAGGTTTTGTTTTTCAAAATCCCAGGTTACCTACCTGTCATTCTCAATCGGACATTCACATTTAGCATATTAAGATTCTGAACCATGGGAACAATTATAAAACTTCTCAAGCCAGTCCACATCCCCCTAACACAGAGCAAAGAAAAAATGCTTTCAACTTAAGAGAGTTCAGGAAATATTTTTTAATTCTTATTTTTAAGTTAAAAATCGAAAAGGCTTTGATTTTAAGTCTACTGAGTAGACAGTTTGAAGAACTGAATGGCTTTTTAAAGTGAGGCTGGTTTAAGATAATATTAGAACTTTGCATTTGTATTCTTCAAACACCAATCCACATAGAATTTTACTTCAGTTATCTGGCTACATGAATGTTTTAAAAACAAAGGATAAGTGCTTGAGGGGATGGATACCCCTTTCTCATCATGATTATTTCACATTGCATGTCTGTATCAAAATATCTCATGAATCACACAAATATATACAACTACTATGTACCCACAAAAATTAAAAAAAATTCCTGTAAGACTTTTTTGTCAGTGTAATTTCACATATACAAAAATAATAGTCAGAAAAAATTATTTGCTTTGTTCAAAGATTCTTTGTGCCTGAATAGTCTATATACTAAACTGTTACATTCCTTTTACAGCCTAAATTTCACTAGATCTGAGTTCTTGCCTGTTCAAGGATTATGTGCTGAGCCATGAGTGTCTGTAGAAATATGAATCTCTGTGTGTTTAACTGTACTAAATAGATGTAAAATATAAATATTCACAGGGGCCACAGTTAAGAATTGATCAAAAAATACACTGTGTGTTTTTTGAATGTGTGTTATTTTCTCTCTGCTTCCCCTCTTACTCCTCGTGTCCCTCTCTTTCCTTTCTGCTCTTTATCCCCACACCTCTCACCCTTAACCACTGGTCCTGCCCTGCCCAATAAAGCCTCTGCACCTTCCTGCTTGTAATTTGTCGCTAATCAGCTGTCACTGTCATCGCCATGATGAGAGGTTCATCTCTGGCTGAGGGTAATGGCCTTAAAAGTCACACAGTCAATGTCAATGGGATCGCTCCAATTCAATCACTGAGCTGAATGAGGGATGGCACCTGCTGACATTAGCACTCATTTTGAGCTCAAGCATCTGGGCCCCAGTAAATAACCATCAGTGGGTGGGTCTGGGGGACAGGTCATTAGCCCCACGAAAAATAAATATCGCTTCCCTTGATGGCTGCAAGTAATTTAGCTCAGATGAGGAAATTTCACCCTAGATTAAGTATGATGAGCCAATATCAGTCAGAGGAGGCCAAACAGTGAGAGCTTGATGAGATAGAGGGAAATTTATATTCAGCTGGCTGCATGTGAGATGAGCTCAAAGAAACAACATACCCTTCTGGCCCATCTTCATGTGCACACTCAATGGTGGGCTTATCTCATTGCTTGCCTCTTCTTCTTGTTTAATATGTTTTGGGGAGGAGGGGGTTTTGAAGACTCCGCTTTGGGAAACTGAAGGCTAGATTTTGGAAGGATGAAAAAGGAGGAATGAAAAAGGAGGGCAGGGTTTAAATTTTTCTCCACGTTGCTTTTGTGACTTTGTCCTCTAGCATGTAATGTCCTAGCTTAGCCCTTTTGCCAGAACTTGGCTGGTGGAAGGGGTTTGCCTTGCCCGCAGGCTCTCACTTCCAGACCTCCCTTCCTGAGAAAGCAGACCCAGCTTTAATTGTTTTGGAGGCCCTGGAGGCTCCTTTCCCACTTGTAAATGGGATGAAAGTGACAGGTTAGGTAGGCTGGATCACTCCTTTTTGATTTTTAGGAAGGAAGAACCACCACATTTCATTCACAAGAACATCATTTTATTTGTCCCACTGATGTGATCCATCAAATCCAGACGGGTTATTAATAGAAGGTCTCTATTAGAAGCAGTTTAGCTCACTTTAGAATCATATTTTATATCTGTAGGGACCTGCCCTCGGTCCACCCTCTCCCTCATTGAACTAGATGTCTCTCAAAGCTGAGTGGACCAGCTTCTCAAGCAGTTTCTTAATATAGATATTGTTTCTCGTGCTGCCTCCTTTCATAATAGACTGTGGTGAGGGTTTCAGTAGGGCATATACTATCTGCCATTAAAATATTTTGTAAGTCATATGTGCATCTGATAATTAGCCAAAAACTTTACAGTATTTTTTAAAAGCAAGGTTTTGTTACCTGACTGGCATATCCAAATTTTGTTTTTATGATTTTCAGACCAATTTTATTACAGAGAAATGGGTCACAGCAGCAACAGTCATGGTAAAGAATGCATGCATGTAGGGTAAAAGGGCATCTTGGCAGAGGCATGCACTGGTGCAGCTGGAGAGCTCTCACCTGGGAGAGAGGATCAGTCAAGGTCTCTGTGAAACCTCTCACCTGTGTAAGAGTTCAATAGATATTTCTGGATTGAATTCATAAAGACCTGCTGTGATAACTAAATGCATCACATATATGAACTCACGGCACCTTGTTTACTTTATTAAGAACAATGATTACAATTGTAAATATAGAAATATTAAGTAATCATTTGTTCCTGACCTACGGTGAGTGCTCCACAAATATTTGATGAGTGACTGTTAAACAAATATTTGCTTTAAGTCTCCTAGACTGTAAATTTTAGAGGGATAGAGAGACTGAGTCTGTGTCCAAGTGCTGTATTCCTGGCACCAACTTAGGAGATGCCGCATAATAAGTGCTCAATAAATATTTGACAAATGAATAAGTAAAAATTTTTGCTGTGTACTTTTATATGTCAGGCACTATGTGAGGGTCTAAAAAGTATGGTCTATGCAAGATGGACTTTATTATTTGGCTGAAGAAAAAAAGATATCCACATACATGACAGTTAAGAAAGTAAGCTTGTGAAAGAGATACCCATTTTTATATTATAATCTGGTTGCTTCTGTGTTTACCAAAATGTAAAAGGAATTAAAGAAGAGAGTACCATTGTAAAACTAAGGCCCTTGAAGAATTCCTGTAGGAAAGAAAATGTGTTCCTGGATCTATGGGAATCTGTGTACAATGATTTTGTTTGGCTCTTACTAGGTAAATGTCGCCATGATATGTTCTTGTGGAATACACAAGACAGTTAAAGCTCTTCTGCCCCTTTAGTTAGTAGATGTTTGTCAAAATGGAGATTCACAATTTTGTGATATATGTAGAGAAGGTATTTTATCCATTGTACAGATGACAGAGGTAGAGGAGATAAAGAGACTTGGTCAACATACCAGACAAAGCTGAAAATAGAGCCCAAGTCTTTATCTACTAAACAGGTAAGGGAATAGAGAGCGACACAAGTGTTAAATCAGTCAAGTCTAATTTAAATACAATATCATCATTGTTGTCATTAAAGGTATCCACACAGATAGAAACGTGATATCGCATTTACAAAATAATTATTGTATTATGGATTTTTATTATAGATACTTTTGTGTGCTTCTATCAAGAAAAAATACTAATCTGCCAATATGTTCTGGAACCATAGAGGATAAAGTTTTCCGAGTCAGGTTATTTGAAGATACTAGCTGTGCTTCCAGCAGGCAAAGTGAAGAGGCGATCAAAACAATTATCCCCATACTCTCTATTTCAATAATCTGAAGTCAAAGAAAATTTCTTTTCTACCAGGATTTTTGGTCTGAGCAGATTATATTAATCAGAATATTTATATTTTTATTTTTGAAGGAAACTAGGTGACTCAGATTCTATACTTTCAATTTTTGGAAGAAATGAATCCAGAATAATTTGCATAACTGGTATTTCTAAAATGTAGAATTGAATATTTCTATAAATTAATAAAAATCATTTCATGCTAATTTTGGGAATTAAATTATTTTCTTGTTATTAGAGTATGTCCATGGTAAAATTTCTGATAAATCATATTTATCTTGAAAGTGTTTATGTTATTCTAATATTTTAGAAGATGTATACATGCAGATATAGATGCTTCATATATCAAAGTGGAAGTTGTTTCAGAATCAAATGGTGCTGTTTGTGTGACTAGCAGGTTGTTGGTTTTCTCTGATTCCTCCCCCCATTCTAAAAAATTATAGTCCAGTTTTTACTGTCTTTCCGTGTACCATGTCTTGATGTGAAATCTACAGGGGCCCAGGGATTTAATTTCTTATATATTTGTTTGTCTTTTAATACTTAACTGTAATCACATGATTTAGCCTCACTTGGTAATTCAAAAGTGATTTTTCTTATTTGGTTGTCTCCTTTTGAGAAGGTTTTGTTGCTAAAGATAAGAGGTACCAGAGCCAAGGGTTTAAGTCTGCTGATAGATATAGATGCAACATTGGTAACTCAGATTTGGTCACTTTGGTATATGGGCCAGTGTTACAGCTTAAGAGTCTTATGCTGCTTAGAGTCATTTGAATGAATTGAGGCCAGGTATTAAGTGTGTGTGAATGTGTGTGAGTATGTCTGGTAAACAGATGAAAGAAATGGAGGATTAATTGGCTTAAAGTTTTTTTTTATCATTTTTTACTAACTCTTTGTCACCACATTAAGGTGTTGACTTTCACTTGAGAAAGAAAGAAAAATTTTGGCAAGGGGTCAGGGAGAAACCAAGAATGAGAAGAAAAAAGTAGATGAATCAAAAAGGAAATAAGAGGAAGTATATATATTCTTCCAAGGAAATAAATATTTATCTTTCCAAGATAAATATTATTAATCAGAAATTTTACATATATATTTTACATCTATAAGTATAAATATATGATAAATAGAACAATGACAAACTAAGCTTGTATAAAGGCTCCTGTAGTGGGTGGGAGTTCTATATTCTAGAGGTCAAGAAGCAAAGTGCTGATAACTTATGTACATTATTCTATCTAATCTTCACAATAATAATCTTATTCCAATATTACACATGAGCAAACTGAGGCTCAAAGAAGTTAAGTAAATTGTCCAAGCGCATGTAGTTAATAAAAGGCTGAGTCATACTTGGAACCCAGGTCTCTGATCACAGAGTCCTCTGCTTTTAACCACTGCATTTAATGAATGTTTGTTCAGTTGGAATGAATGTCTAGAAATGCAGATTTTGTTTTAGGCTTTTGGTTTATGTGACCGCATATATAGGTGGCTCATGCCTGTTATCTCAGCACTTTGGAAGGCCAAGGCGGGCAGATCACGAGGTCAGGAGATCGAGACCATCCTGGCTAACACGGTGAAACCCTGTCTCTACTAAAAATACAAAAAATCAGCCAGGCATGGTGGTGGGCACCTGTAGTCCCAGCTACTTGGGAAGCTGAGGCAGGAGAATCGCTTGAATTGGGGATGCAGAGGTTGCAGTGAGCCGAGATCATGCCACTTCACTCCAGCCTGGGTGATAAAGCAAGACACCCTCAAAAAAAATAAATAAATAAAAAATAAAGAAAAAAGAAAATGACTGGAACATATCTTTGGAATGACTTTAGGAAATATATCTTTTAGGTCTCATCATGGAAAGGAGGAGGTTTTGCTGAAAAAGTAGGAGGCTGCAGTGTATTTTGAGTTTGGCAGAGAAGTTGGTGTAAACTTGTAATATTAAACCATATGAAACGACACCACCATGGAAGAGGTGAACACTTCTTCCTTTAGTCTTTGATAATAAGATTATTCTGTCTTCCTTATCTTTGAAGAAATTCACACAGCCTAAAAATAAAGGATGAGAATGAAATAGACCTGTATTTCTCAGAACTTAGTAAAATGTGGCTACCTCTAAGTTATTTAGTATTTTTGGATTATCCATACTTCACGGGCTCTTTTTTAACTCTTGTTCTGAATTTCAGATGTCACTTTCATTTCTTATTGGTCAGCACAGAAGAAGGAGTAACATTTGGCTTAGCTAGTTGTTAGCAGGTATTAGTAGGAGAAGGTAACGTTAACATTACATGGTTAAATGAGGTTTAGGGATGATTCCATTTTTTTTCTTTCCTTTTTGCATGGGTACCTGAGAAATCTTGATTATGCAAGTTTGAAAATAAGCATTACATATTTGGTTTTTTGAAATAGAAAATAAAATGGGAAAATTTCATTTATAGTAGCAAAATTATAGAAAATATCTGGTAATCATTTTATTTTTAATTTGTTTATTTTTTAATAATTTCAACTTTTATTTTAGATTCAGGGAGTACATGTGTGGGTTTGTTACATGGGTATATTACATGATATTGAGGTTTGGAGTATGAATGATGCCATCACCCAGGTAGTGAGCATGGTACCCAATAGGTAGTTTTTCAGCCCTTCCCCTCCTCCCTCTCTCCTGCCTGTAGTAGTCCCCAGTGTCTGTTCTTCCCATCTTTATGCCCATGTGTACCCAATGTGTAGCTCCCACTTAAAAGTGAGAACATACAGTATTTGGTTTTCTGTTCCTGCATTAATTCACTTAGGATAATGGCCTCCAGCTGCATCCATGTTGTTGCAAAAGGCATGATTTCATTCTTTTTTATGGCTGCATAGTAATCCATGGTGTATATGTATCATCTTTTCTTTATCCAATCCACCATTGATGGGCATTTCGATTGATTCCATGTCTTTGCTATTATGAATAGTGGTGTGACGAACATATGAATGCATGAGTCTTTCTGGTAGAATGATTTATTTTCCTTTGGGTAAATAGTATTGGGATAAACACTACATATTAGTCAACATTTGTAAGTACACACATGCATACACACACACACACACACACACACACACACACACACACAATAAAAACAGCCCTTTGTCCTTCAAACTTACTTTACAGAACAGAGCTCATTAAATTTTCAGAGCTAGTATTTTTCATCTTTAATTAAGTGGACATTTGCTATGCTGTGGTGATAATATGGTGGACAGGACCTAGGTCAGAGCAATGATCTAAGTAAACCTGCAGGTAATATGACTAAATCATGAATTTTAGTAATGTTGGTTTTAGCAGTAAATATATAAGTTATATTTAAAATGCTTTTCAAGTTAAATCCTATACTAAATCCATTGGGAGAATTTTCAATTAAAAAATAGTCCTCAAACAAGCTTATAAATATTATAATCTTAAAGGGAATATTCTCTAAATCCATTGGTTTTGGAAGTACCATTTCCATTTATTTTGAGTTTCTTTCAGCGGAATATTCTATAAATATGGTGATGAATATTTAAATGATGTAGATAAAGATTAACAGCATTAATACAAGATCCATCAGAAGGATAATATTAGTATTAATAAATTACTGCAGCAATTTTGTTATAAATTTTTAAAATGGGATTTTTGAGGTGTGGAATCTAAAAGTCTTCATCATGAGAAAAAGGTTTAGATTTTTAAATTTTTAATTTTTTTTACATTCCTTTATTATTTGAAAGCATTGTTTGCATTGTCCCTCCTACCCTTTAATAGCTGGCATTTGTTATGATTTGGTATCTGTCTGCAGTGTTTGTGCATGAGAAACTAATCAATAAACAGTTGACGAAGTCATCATGAAAAAGTGGTTGATGATGAATTGATTGCCATTACACAGGTATTATGTGCATTCTACCAGTTGACATTTTGAACTTCTCCCGTAATGCAGGTTGCTTTCTCTCATCTAGGAAACAGATCAAAGGCAGGCATTTCCAATTAAGCCTGGTAGGGTCCTGTACCTCCAAATTATAGGCTAACTTACTGTGTCTAACTATAACAGACATTTTGTTAGCAAATTTCTTTGAGCACACAAATATGCCCAATAAAGCAAATAGGAAAATATTAGAATTACTAGTAAAAATGTTCAGTGTGTTGAATTCTATCGCTGAACAGTTTATATTAATATTTTAGAGTCAGCTACTTTTTCCCCCTTTTCTTTCTAGAAGATACTTTAGCAGTAATAGCAAGACTAGGAATTCAAAGTGATAGGTTTGAAAAAACAAGCCAATGACGGCTGTCAATTAAAGAAATCATAAGAATTTTACACAAATATTGTAGGGAGGAATTCAAAATTGTAGTAATTAAAATGTTGCTGGGGAGACTGGTACCATAAACAAAGTCCACATAAATTTCATCAAATTGTATAATCAGAGATTGTTGCAAGGGGTGGATTGGACACTGAGCTTTTGTACGCAGAAAAGAAGTTTTATTTTACTTTTTGAAACTTTTCATTCTGTTGCATTTTTTTCCTGTTTGAATTTTATGTTGACAGTGAGCCAAATAATTCAGATTTATATCACTGTAATACTGACATAATGACAAAATATGAGATTATGGAAAGTGGGGCTCATAAATGAATTCCAGTTGTTTTACTTTCAGGCATTTTACAGAAACACAGATGAAGCATTGATAAACTAGAGAACAGCTGTTGTTTAGCCATCTTACACAATGTAGTTTTTCACTTTTTTTTTTTCTATTTTCATGAACATTTTTTTCTTGCCGGATTCTTCACTTTATGGTTATTATTAGCATCAGAGATACAAGACTGTTATGCACTCTAGATATCTTTGGCAAGTTAATACTTTTTGGAATGAACTTGTGAGAAGAATTCTTTAGTAGACTCATTGTTATATAGATTACACCTTTATTTTACATAACTTTCTGAACCGAGTTCCTTTGGTTCCAGTAATTTAAATTTAACCAACATATATTGAGAACCTATTCCTTCTCTTTCTGTACTTTGCAGTTTAGAGGTCAGTGTATATTGCTGCTTATAGTTTATAAGGAATATAGAGTCAGTAGAGCTCTTTGCAGTTTATAACTAATTTTCATTTGTATGTCATCTCATACTGTTGGTTATATATACACATAGATGAATGTCATGATCCCTACTCTTAAGATCCTTACAATCAAGTAGAAAGAGTAAACATAAATGACTTATTTATTATGGAACTTCAAAGTCACCCTAAATAAAGATTTGAAAAAGATTAAGTATAAATGTATTTCAAATTTGACACTTGCTTAAATTGATACATGGCCTTGCTTTTAGGCATTTGGAAAATTTTTATCTAAAGTGCTTTCTATTTTAGAATTTATACATCAGACACTTTGTATTAATAATGGAGATAATAATACCTAATGCTTATAGAACATATAATACTTTTTAAGGAGCTTTTAAATCTTCAATTTCATTTTATCCTCATTAATTTGATAATCTGCTGAGGTTCTTTTCTGTCCGTTGATTTGATTACAATTGCTACACAGCAAAAAGAGAAATGGAATCACACTATAATAGATCTTGAAGGAAATATAAAGACAATCTTACCTAATGCCTTTATTTTAAAACGAAACTGAGGTTAAGGCTGTTACTTGTCTTAGGTCACAATGCTAGTTAGGGGCAAATCTTTTGACATTAAATCAGTCATGTTTCTACCAAATCACTGCTTCTCTCCAGTATAGGCTTTTCAACACTTGTCCCCATGAGTTTAGGCATGAATTATCCAGTTTGATTCCTTATACTACCCAAATGGACAGCTGTTTGCTCTCTTTCCTTCTCTCCTTGTTTCTTTCTCTCTCTCCCCACTTCCACCCTCTCTCTTAATAACCACCCCTCTCCCTGCCTCCCTTCTTTCCTTCCTTTCTCTCCTTCCTTTTCTTCTTTCTTCTGTTTATCCAGATATTCAGTCATTCATCGTCACTGAACATTTATTGAATCTGTTTCATCTTTGCTTGCCAATGCACATGGCATCTGAGATTATGTGACCCTGATACCATAATGTCAGAATGCTTATTCCGAGTATTTGAATATTACTCTATTTCTAGAGCAGAGAAAGTAGGTTTATGAATGGAGATTGGGTCAGGGATGGAGAGGCAGAGGTGGGAGGGTCATGTGACACAAAGAGTTTGGGACCAGCCTGGGCAACATAAGAAGACCCTATCTCTACAAAAAAGAGAAAAATTGGCTGGGCATGGTGGTGCATGCCTGTAGTCCTAGCTACTTAGGAGGCTGAGGCAGGAGAATTGCTTGAGTCTAGGAACTTGAGATTACAGTGAGCTATGATCGTGCTACTCTGCTCCAGCCTGGGAGACAGAGAGAGAGTCCTGTCTCCATTAAAAAAAAAAAAAGAAAAAAAGAAAAAGAGATTGCATTTCTAACATTTCATTGAGGTCCTCAAGAAATTTTGTTGCTACCAGGGCATATTAACTCTGTCTACCTAAGACAATAAATACGAAAATACCTCTGATCCTTGGTTAATCTAATGCGATATTCTCTGTCTGGCAGGGATACCAACAGAATTTTGTTGTAGTCTCGTAGTAACCTTCAGAAAGTAAATATAACCCAAAAGCTATCACTGTGGTGGGATGGGGGCACTCTGGGCTCAGATCTCCAGTACATAAATGGTCCCAATTTGGGGGACCTATGTATTTAGGTCCCATGCTGGCAACAGTGAAGGGTGTTCACCATAAAACCTCAGTCTCTTATCTATCAGATCTCAAAACTATACTGTGTTTTAAAATTCTGTTACTTTCTTGTGACTAGCCCAGTCATATTATGTTGTATGTTATTCTGCTAAACGTGCTAATTTGTTAAATGTGTGCATTTTATAAATATGTTATAATTATTATTCCTCTACTTTGGCATTTTTTCCCATTTTAAAAAGTGCTTAGTTACTGAAAAAGACATGGCAAAGATTGTTTTGAACTCTGAGGTTCCATTTAATTTGTATTTAGCTATTCTTATATCCTGTTACAGATATATCTGTAAATTGGTCTCAACTGTTTCTTATGTTTAGATTCTGAGTTCTCATAGTTTCTTCCAAAAGATCCTCAGTAGGATAAATTATACCGCTGCTAGCTATGTTGAGGAGTATCTTATTTAATTTAAAAGCTTCCTCCTTTTGCTTTTGGTGAGATTCAGTCCTAGGTTTTCAAGGTATGGTGACTGAATCAGTGGTCATCTATTTATACCCTTCGTGATTTTATAAATTTGAGTGATACATCCCGTCTGCTCCGTAGTTACAGAATGAAATATAACTATGCCTCTCATTTCTTAGGTGTTCATCCCTGAAACTTCTGAAATATCATTAGGTTTATTCTGATGTTTTTTGATTCAGAGCCACAAACACTGTCCCAGAAATGAACAGACTATGGCTGTGGAGGAAAGTATTCTTTGCTAATTGCTCTTTTTCACTATGCAAAAGTAAATTAGCCAGGTTTTAGAAATTGCTGGATCCAAACCAATTTTAAAATGTTGTGAAACAATGAATCTTCTATAGTGTTTGAGTTTCAAAGTTAACACAGTTACAGCAGTAAGATGGTTGCTATAAAAATTCAAACCATGCAAAATATTCAAGGTAAAACGTAAAAGTTGCCCTGCATTCCCCAATATAACATTTTGTCATCAATAACTTGTTGGTAGTATTCCCATGCCTTTTTGCACATTGATATATGAAGTCTTGGCAGGTCTTATTGTTAAGCTATGCTTGACATTTGTTTTCTCAACATGATTTATTTGAAGATGGTCAAAATGAAGTATTGCATAAGGCAAGAATTTAGTTTTTTCTTTTGCCCAAAGGAACTTGTATTCGGTAATTGTTTTCTTCCAAACATGCTTTGAAGTCCTTGACTACAATAGCCAATGATGGAAACAGTAATAATGTAGTTAAACACGCCCCAAATTATGCAGCAAAAATCTTAGATTCTGGCACTTACTAGCCTCACTAGTGGTGTACCTTTGAGTAAATCATTTAATTGCCTTTTGTTCATTTCTGAGACTTTTTTCATTTCTGCGATTCTATTATTCTTTTACTAAGTGAAAAATATATGTGGATTTTTCAAGAAAGAAGATGAATATTTCACAAATAACTAAGAATACAAAATTTAGAAAATTTTTGCCTAAAACAAACATGTGACAAAAATAAATTAGAATAATTTTTAATGGGAAGAAGAGTTTAGTATTGACTATTGTGCAATAAAGTAGATAGCTTTATTTATTTATTTAGAGACAGGGTCTTCTCTGTCGCCCAGGCTGGAGTGCAGTGGCATGATCATGGCTCCCTGCAACCTTGACCCTCTTGAGTAGATGGGATTACAGGGGCATGCCACCACATCCAGATAATTATTTTTTTATTATTTTTTTTTTTTTACAGATGATGTCTTGCTATATTGTCTAGGTTGGTCTTGAACTCCTGACCTCAAGTGATCCTCCAGCCTCAACCTCCCAAAGTGCTAGGATTAAAGCTGTGAGCCACTGTGCCCTGATGGGAGATAGCTTTATGTTATGATCCAATGTAACACCTAGAATCATTACACTATAATGCTGGCCTTTAATATACTTTAGGTTTCTAAAAATAAAAACAAATGAAAATAATTTTCAAGAGACAAGTCCAAACATAACTGGAGAATTTGATTATGAAAGAATTCATTTTGCCTACATTCTTGTTTGCACGGTGGCTCTCCCTGTATAGCCATTACATAAACTATACAGGACTGTAGATTATAAATTCGACTTATATTTAGAATTCATCTGTGATATGAATATAAAGTTTCAGTCTGTTTTATACTATAGTGTTAGAAAATAAAATCAAGAAGCAGAAAATGGATATGTCCAAAGAATTCTAGGTAATTAAAAGGCAGCTATGTTTTAATCTAATAAGTAGATATCCCTGTCAGTATTTTATGAATTGTGAAGATAGAAACTATATTATTTATCTCAAATTTCTTTAAAAACAATGTTACGATACTGGTCTAGAGACCAGTATCAAACTTGATGTCTTGCAGAGTTATAAAACAACATTGCCAATATATTTTTGGGGGATATTAAAACTGGGTCTAGCATGATAGAAGCATGAATGATCTGATGGTATAATATGTGTTAGAGGCATTCTAGCTTTGGAGAGTCAGGTTTCATTCTTCTTCTGACATGCTCCAGTTATATAACTACGACAGTCAACACAGTGTTCTTAGTTTTTTCTTAACCAGTTTCAGGTAAAACCATAGGCATTTAGATACCTACAGGAGGCATTCTCTTCTTCAGTGGTGACGTACTGCAATAAGGTTCTGAGACTAACCACCCAAGGTGAGTACCAGACTCCACAGTTTTAAGGACATGGTCCCTGACATGATTGCCCTCACTTCAGATACCAGATGAAAAATTGGAGCCCCAAGCTACCTGCATTGCTAACCAACTGGCTACAAATCCAGAGGATTCCCATGACTACAACTCAGGTTTGACAATTCCCTAGAATAAATCATAGAACTCAGGAAAGTGCTATACTTACAGTTTTATTGTCAAGGATGCAAGTCAGGACCAGACAAATGAGGAGACACAGAGGGCAAGGGCTGGGAGGATCCTGATTGCAAAGCTTCCATGCTGCCTCTCAGTGGGTTCAGAGTGTATCAAACTCTTGGCCCATCAATGTGTTCATCAACCAAAAAGCTCCCTCAAGCTTCAGTGTTGGGAATTTTTACTGGGGTTTCATAATGTAGGCATAATTGATAAAATCATTGTCCATGTAATTGAGCTCAATCTTCATTCAGTCTTCCTACCCTCGCTGAATGTCCAGAAGTTGGGCTGATATCACATGGTTTAAAGCCCCAATCTTCTAATAACATGATCAGCCCCCATTCTGAAGCTATCTGGGGTCCCACCATGAGTTACCTCAACACAAATTCAGGTGTGATCCAAGGAACTTAGGAATAACAAAGACACTTCTTTTACTGGGGAAGTTCCAAGGATTTAGAGTCTTAATCCCAGGAACAAGGAACAAAGACCAGTCAAATTCCTTATTATACAACAAGTGGTGTGGTCCAAAGCTCTTTCTTAAAAAAGTTAGTAGTTATTTCAAATATGTATGCACCATAAATTAGTCATAAAGTCTGACATTGTAACTGTTTTCTTATAGGATATCTGGAAGTATGTAATTCCCCTCTTTTCCAATCCACTCTTTGCCTCTCATAGTGGTTGGATTATATAATAATTTTATGTTCCAATGCTGATAATTTTCTTTTTCTGAGAAAACTGTGGAGTCAATATGAATTCTTATTTCTAGGCCAAACCTAAAGGATTAAGGCTGAGAACATCTTCTGTTTTTGATAAAGATTAAAAATACATTTCCTTTTGCTGGCCTATGCTTCTCTTAATATTCAATGACTTCAAATACATAATTGTGATTGTTACTGTAAATCATAGCAAAATGGTTTATGGTCAGAGTTTATTTGATTTGGCTTTACCTATCCATGTGCTCTTAGAATAGGAGAGGTATGGAAATACTGGAGTAGGCCTAACACTTTGATTTAAAACTTTTTCAGAGAAACGGACTGATAAAATCAAAGGGTTACTTGTGGTTTGCTTCCAGCTCCATCAATATAGCGTATGGTATAAAGTTAAGAAAATTACTGACAGATTTGATTGTTGAACTAGGTCTGATTGGCTCCCAGACCTGATGTATTTCAGTAACTTGTGCTGCTTCCGGATGAGAGTTGCTTTTCCTTTTTAAGGGAAACATAAAAGCAGGGTACACTATAAGAATACCTAAAAGTCTGAATTTCTCATGGAGTTTTTTTTTAACTTTAAAGGAACCAAATTAAGATTTTAAAATATGCAAATTTCATTTTCTATTTTTGAAAGCCATTTTCTGATTCGTACCACCAGGTGTTTTCTCTTGGTTGTAGTTGGATGGTAATAATCTATGCCTTTATGGTGTGTGGCATTCTTAGAAGTCTGAAATATGCCACGTGCTGAGTGTTATACTAGATAAAAACACAACAACCTTAATGTTGGCCACAGAATATGTTAAATGCAGTGATCATGAAAACGCCTTTTTAGATAAGACAACAGATAGTAGATACCCGTTATCAATGCAAGACTTGTGAGATAAGGTGAGTGGGGGAGAGGTATGTGCTATATACTGAAATAGTTTTTCTGTTGTTAACAAGTAGCATCACATGTATTGTTTAGAATGATGTTTTACTTTGCTGAAGAAATTCTCCTGAATCCCAAAATAAAAAAGAGCATAGAGGAAATATTTAGTTATCTAAATATTTGATAAGGACTGAATCTCAACAATCACTTTCTGTTGTGGGTAAGAAATTATTATTTAGGTTGGAAAAATGAGACAAAATATAGCAATTTGGGGAGAAGTAAAGAACTGCATTTATTTTGTGTTTGGTGACTGTATTACTCAACACTGTAAACATATATTTTTTGTATGAAAATAAATGTTTCTTTTGTGGGACAGTGCCATTTTATGTACTGCTGAAATTATTCCCCTACAAACTGTATTTTATCTGGAGAAGTGATTGGTGTCAAAAGTATTGCTTGTATCAAGATATATGTACAGAGTGGAGGTTGCTCAGTAATATATAGTGTCCTGATGGTTTATGTTGACGGTGCACTGACATAATTTACATCAGCCATTCCTTTTTACCTTGAACTATAAGGTGTGATAGCTTCCGGATTTATATTTGTAAGACTTTTAACCATTTAAGGAGTTACTGTTAACAAATGCACACATATTTATGATATTCTGGTTCTGAGATGAAAACAAATATAAAACAATGTTGCTTGTGAGAACAGGAACTGGTAAGGAGCTCTTTGACAAGCAGCACTGTCGATGCAAGTCATAACAACTACAATAACAGCAACAATAGTTATTATTTCTAACAACTTCCATTTGAAGGATGCTCTTATGAAGTAGGCTGGTGTAGTGATGGAGCACCAAGTCTCTGGAGTCAGACTATGCAGGTTTGAATCTCAGCTCTGCTGCTAGGTGTATGACCTTGGCCAACTTGTTTGACCTTTCTGTGCCTTGATTTCCTAATTTTTAAAATGGGGAAAAGAATAGGATTGTTCTGGGAATTAAATGACATGATAGAGAGAAAATACATAGAATAGTAAATTATTTTAATGGTGATGATTTACAATATCTTTAGTCCTTACAGCAACTCTGGCAAGTTATTTTTTTCCCTCAAATTAGGGAAAGGTACAATTTTGCACTATTAATAGATATGAGACTGAGCATCAGAGAAGTTAAAGTCTTGCCCATGAACGCAGATTTGAGATTGAAATGTAGGTATGGTTAGCTTTCATGCTGTAATTCATTTCACTAAGTTTTGCTGCCTCAATATTAGAACTATTATTATTCCTGTGAAAGGGAAACTTTAAAAAGGGAACAGTTATAGGAATACTTGAGTCCAAAATTTTCATGGAAAAATTTTTAACCTTAGTGGAACCAAATATCTTAATAGTATGCAGAAAGGAACCATTCTCTAGCCTACAAATATGTTCTTTGGGGGAAGAAGGATTAATATTATCACTGAGTCATAAGTGTAAAATTTATGCAATATGGTTAAATTGAAATTAGTTATAATTTGGAGAAATTTGGAGGAGGTTATGATCATGGATACTGCACACAAGCTGTCACACACTTTCTAGATCTAGTTTTAATTACATGCACATGGATTATCCAATCTGACTATTAAACCTGGTAAATACTACACTAAGTTCTTATTAATATACTTATTTTGCTTAATTAAAGAAGTTATGTAGATTATAAAAATATATCTCTCTTTCAAGCTATTCCTCATATTCTCAAGACTTTTATTGGCAAAATCTATTGAAGCATAAACACAGTTTCTCACATAGTTATACTCCTCTCGCTATCCAGTTGAGTGCTATGTGCGCTGTAGAGGTTTAGTAATTATTTGGTGTTTTTGGCAAGCTTATCTTTTGTACATTCTTCTTGATTCCTAAACCTTTTAGAACACCCCCAACTTGAGCTTTCAGTGCAGCAATAACGTGGATATCTCTCTGCATCTCCATGTAGCTGCAGTTTTACATTGAACATAATTTCAATGTCAGTAGACTGCATGGTCTGCTATGTCAGAAAGAGGCAAGACATAGTGAGCTTTCCTAATACCTAAAATGCTCCTGTGGTGGTAGTGGGGACCAAAATCCAATGGGATTAAGAAAGATGGGTATTAAGCAGACTGCTTATATTGATATTGGAGAGAGTCAGGTCAAGTTTCGACCTTTTCATGTGTATTACCTAGTTTGGCAATGGCCTCCCCTACTCACCCAAAACCTGAGCAGATATCCTGGGCATAATCCAGTGCTCACCCCTATTTCCACACATGCTTTTAGTAACAGGATCCTATCCCATTCCTCTAAATCTTAAATTGTTCTCCCATTCATCCCTGTCTCGTCATTCCCATTGCTATTTCAGTCTTTATAACTTTGGTCCCACAATGTTTCTCTCTCTCTCTCTCTCTTTTTATGAATGAGCATTTCCCCACATTATTAAATTTCCTTCAAAATATGATTTTTATGCTC
Source organism: Homo sapiens (assembly GCF_000001405.40). Classification (NCBI taxonomy): domain Eukaryota; kingdom Metazoa; phylum Chordata; class Mammalia; order Primates; family Hominidae; genus Homo; species Homo sapiens. The sequence continues at coordinate 79,040,101 of NC_000004.12, forward strand.
AACATCACTAATCATTAGAGAAATGCAAATCAAAACCACAATGAGATGCCATCTCACACCAGTCAGAGTGGCTATTATTAAAAGTCAAAAAACAACAGATTCTGGCAAGGTTGCTGAGAACAATGTATGCTTATATACTGTTGGTAGGAATGTAAATTAGCTCAGCCATTGTGGAAAGCAGTTTAGTGATTTCTCAAAGAACTCAAAACAGAATTACCATTTGACACAGTAATCCCATTGCTGAATATATACCCAAAGGAATATAAATTGTTCTGCCATGGAAACACATGCATGCATATGTTCATTACAGCATTATTCACAATAGTAAAAACATAGAATTAACCTAAATGCCCATCAATGGTAGACTGGATAAAGAAAATGTGTTATATACACACCATGGAATACTGTGCAGCCATAAAAAAGAATGAGAACATGTCTTTTGCAGCAACATGGATGGAGCTGGGGGCCATTATCCTAAGCAAACTAACACAAGAACAGAAAACAAAATACTGCATGTTCCCACTTATAAGTGGGAGCTAAACATTGAGTACATATGGACACAAAGAACAGACACCGGGGCCTGCTTAAGGTTGGAGAGAGTGAGGAGTGTGAGGATTGAAAAACTACCTATTTGGTACTATGCTTATTACCTGGGTGCCAAAATAATCTGTACACCCAGCTCCCATGACACACAATTTACCTATATAATATACCTGCATGTGCATCCCCAAACCTAAATAAAAGTTCAGACAAACATGATTTTTATGTTTTTGTGTTACTTTATCATATGGTTGTGTCCGATTTAAAAATCCCTCTATTTTGGCCAGGCGCAGTGGCTCACGCCTGTAATCCCAGCATTTTGGGAGGCCGAGGTGGGTGGATCACCTGAGGTTAGGAGTTCGAGACCAGCTTGGCCAAATGGCAAAACCCTGTCTCTACTAAAAATACAAAAATTAGCTGGGTGTGGTAGGGGGCGCCTGTAATCCCAGCTACTCACGAGGCTGAGGTAGGAGAATCGCTTGAACCCGGGAGGCAGAGGTTGCAGTGAGCTGAGATCTCACCACTGCACTCCAGCCTGGGCAACAGAGTGAGACTCTGTCTCAAAAAAAAAAAAAAAGAGTACCTCTATTTTTACTTAGATTATTTCCCCTCTTGGGCTCTTATAAATAATATTTCTGTACACATTTATATTTAAAAACATCTCTGGTCATTTCCTTAGGCTAAATTTCTAGAAATACAAATTCAGGGGCATAAGATCATATTTTTTAAAATAATGAAATACTTATTCTCCCATCAAAAGTATGATAGCATCTGTCTCACTAGAGTCTTGATTATTATTATCTAAAACAATCTTGTTAATTCAGTAGATAAAAATTTTATGTTATTTTAATCAATGTTTTTGAATGCTAGTGAGATAGAACATTTTTTGCATGTGTGTGTGATTTGCATCTCTAATTTTTGTAGTTTGTGATGTTTTGAATAGACATTTTAAATTTTAATGTAGTAAAATCTATTTTTTCTCATTTTCTACTGGTTTTATATTGATAAAACAGTTACATAAGTTAAATATTTATCTTTATTTTCTTCCTATTTTATAGTATTTAAAAAACCCAAAATATTTAACTCTTTATCTAAAATACATTTTGGTGCACCTTGTAAAATGAGCATTCAAAATTAAATTGGATAAATTTAATTTTTTCAAATAGGTAATAGTTTTCCAATTGTTAATTTTTACACAGGTTCTTGACTAGTTTCAAATACTGAGGTTTTAAATTTCATTTTTATATTTGATAGACTGAGTGCTCCTTCATTAATTTTTTTTCCAAAATATCTTTGTGTGTGTGTTGATTTTTCATCCAGAGAAATTTTAGAATAATGTTATCTACCTTCTTCCAAAATGTTACATTGGAAAAAATCGACATATTTAAGTATTTTGTGTTTCTTCATTTAGTCAGATCTTATTTTACATTTTTTTCAGTAGTCTATTTTTAGTCAGATAAGTTCCATACATATTTTTGTCATGGTTATTCATAGGCATTTTGTATAGATTGCTACTCTGAATAAGATATTTTATTCTACTGTATTTTCTAGCTCAATTTACTGGGATACATCTTTAAAATAGTTTTTCATAGTCATTTTTAATAGTTCCCACTGTTAATTTCAGCACCAGAGGGAGCTGTAGGGTAGTGGAAAAAGCCCTCATCATTGAGAAGGCCTGAATCTGAGTCCAGGCTCTGCAAATTATTTCCCATGTAGCCTTGGCCAAATTATCTATGAAATGGGAGAATTCTTCCTGCCTCTCACAGGGTGTTGGGAAAATCCACTCAGAAGAGTAGGCACTCTTATTATACAATGTGGGCAGCTGATTAATTTACCTAGGTGTGAGGCAGAACTTAACAGGCAGTAGTTTTTATCTGGAGATGGGGAAAAAGAAAAAGCATTAGTAGCATTTCCAGGATTTGATATTAAAGTCAATATCAGCTTCTCATTTTATGCATTATAAATATCACCTGAAATTGGATGACAGATCATTAGAATGGTATTGCGGGACAAACAGTGACTGGGAAGCCAGGGAACATGAGTCCTGGTCCCCACGGTGCCACTCTGTTGGGTGATCCTGCACCATTCAGTCTTTTGGGACCTCAGTTTGCTAATATGTAAAATAAAAATTCAAATGTAAGTCAAGACGCATAAACTAATTCAAGATTGTTTCCACAAATAAAATTAGTGTACTCAGTGGAATACATGACTTATTCTGGACATGCTTTATGATTTTCTGGATTGGTTTCCAGTGTCCTGGTGTAGACTTATGATACCTGATTTGGATGGGTTTCTTGCACTGCCTAAAGTTATCGTAATTGACAGGTTAACAAACGTGAATCTTTCAGGATTTTTTTTTAAAAAATAAATAAAACGATGGTGAAAGCACTACAGTTTTTCTATTTCAAATATATACATGTATTTAAAAATTCTCAAGCTATTATGTCTTTTAGACTATGAAAGCATCAGCAGACCCTTAACTAGAGCTTTGTGAGGGGCAGCGCTGCAATCCAATGAATAATATCTATGAATCCAGGATCACGTTGGATATTATCACTCATTACCATTGTGAGAAAAGGATGATTAAACTAATAGTTACTCGGAGACACTTCTGATGACAGGAGGCTATGATGAAAATAAACTGGCTTCAATATACATTTAGAACCGGTAATAATGGGATGTGGCAGGAAGCCAATAAATGAACATGGCCCTCCGCTCTGATCAATGAATTACTTTCCCTTCTCTTTCCCTGCTCTTGAGGGCAGCACAGGAACCTTAATGAAAAATCAATAACCCTCTGTAATTCAGAAATGGAATCAATCGTTTGACCTGACTTTTTCTTTTTCCTTGCTAAGAGAATGCTTAGCTCAAGATAGAATTCAGTTGTAAAGAGCTGTTCTTCAAAAAGCCTACAGAAGACACCTGATATCAGTCCACAACAATTTATACCTGCGATGGGTAGGACTTTTCTTCCTTGCCATCTTAAGGAGTAATGAGTCTTACGTTTATTTTCCCCCACAGTTCTTCCTCATAATCCCTATCTTAAAAATTATATGCAACCATTAGTTGTTTTGTTTTTTTAATGGTTCTTGTGGCAGTTACTGCTATCAGTGCTGCAGATGCTTTAAAACATAGGTTGATAGCTGTGGATGCTGTCTTTAAACCCATCTGGGATCAAATGGGAATCAATTTTTCCACAGATCTCTCTGCATACTTCCTCTAGCATCTGTTAACTATTAAATTTGTGCTCAAAACAAGCCAGGGCCCACGTGCCCTTGACCTAAAGGCAATTAGGACAGGCTGAAAGGTAATTAGGATGTAGGTTTAAAAATAGTGTTTTCAGGTTTTTATTGAAAATCTCTTATGACATAGGACGAGTTCTCAGGGCCCCTACTATATCACATGCTGTGGTGTACTGGTGAATCTTCGGCATCTGGCTTTCTTAGTGGGTGTGGCCCTAATTTGCAGGTTTTGCTGATTTCCATGGTGCTAATAGTACCACTATGGCTGATTTCAAACCACTATTGTGACTGTCACTGAACATGGAGTTGGGAGGAGACAACACAATGTACTCAGCTTGTGAGCTGGCCCTAGTATACCACAGTTGGCCATTTGGCACCTTTGCACAAATTAGAAAACAAACTCCCTTCTGTGTGGACACCACATGACTTGATGAGTGGTATGGGGGAATAGATTTTAATCCCCACTTTGCCTCCTGGCCAAGCGTTATTGTGCAGTATTTTAATCTGCAGAAGCACATGTGAACTCTGGGAGTAACTTGGGGCCCATAAATCCTTAAGGGCTCATGGATGGACTTCAGAGAATCTGCAACTTCCTGTACAGTCAGCTGTGTGTGTATGTGTGTATGTGTGTGCATGAGCCTTTATCTGGGGAGAGGATTAATGACTTTTAACAGATTTTCAAAAGGATCCCTAATTTAAAAATTTAAATCCTTGAAAATTCTGGTTACGTTGGTAGAAATCTGGGGACTTTGAGACTACATTTAAATGCAATTCAAGGGATATAAAGCCACAAGACCTAGTAAGAGTCTTGATTTTGCAGCTTTCTAGGAAAAAAGGGCACAATTTTGAAATTGGAGGCAAAAATGAAATTTTGATAAGCCTGGGCATTTTTGAATACCTCATAGATACATGCATGTTTACATTCCGTATAATGATGCAGTCAGAAGGCAACAGGATTTAGTATTCTTGCCTTCACTATATGCTAATCCCAGCAACATGCATTAAGAAAATAGGGAATTATTCATCCCTTTTTGTCCTTTATAATGCAGAGCACTTCAAAAATTTCCAACTCCTTTTCTGTCTTTTTCCCAGGGCTAGGCTTACACCCAATTTATGGTCATCTTGCTCATGCTCATCCTGCACAATTTCTAGCATTTGGAGAATGTTTCTCATGGTAGCATCTAATGCCTGTGGCTGCTGAGAGAAAGCAGCGATGAGGGGAAGACACTGACCTCTGTTTGGGTGAGTATTTTAGTGTAAACCAGAGAGTTACCATCTAAGAGTATCACGTAGCTATATAGGCTTAAAACATTCATTTCTGGAGCGTTTTATATCATATTTTTCATTTAATCACCCAATGTCAAGTCTAATAACGTAGGTCTCTTTATCACCATTTTGTGGAGATTTAGAAACCGAGATTCAGAGGCATGAGAACATGTGCAAGGGAATCAAAAATTAGAAACTTAGTCAGGCCCCAAACCCAGCTCTTCTGAAATCTCGTCCAAGGCTCCTTCCAGTACTCCCACTGTCGCACTGTTGTGGTGCCCCTGCTTGTTCCAGTGGTTGAAGGTTCAAGCAAGCATGAGTGCCAGCCCAATCACGGGTACACTGAGGGTAAACCTCAGGACTGCTGTCTGGAGTGTAGTTATTTTAATATTTCTAATGACAATTCTGAAGGCAACAAGGGCTTTGGAGCCCAACAAACCTGTGGTGGAATCCTGACTCTGCCATTTCCTGGTTCTGTAACCTCTGTCAGTCTCAATTTTATTTTCTGTAAAATGGGGGTAACAGCACTTCCTTCAGGATTTTGTGAATATTAATGTACATAAAGCACTTATACCATGCCTGAAAGGTCCACAGTAAGTATTCCCTAAATGATAACTATATTAATTCTTAGTACTATACTCAACATTCTGATATATTTACCACAGTGAAAACCAACACTACTTCATCTAGAAGTTGAAGGTCATAATTTATTGGAAGACTTTATTTGAAAACACCTGCACCAATATAAATGTAAAAGGTTCCAAATAGGGTCACATGGATAAAGTCTTTGTTTCTACTCTTTAAAACACCCGACGCAGCTACCCCAAAGGAGCCTAATGTAACAAAGAAAAAAGAAAATAATTAAAACAAACCCTCTGCTCCTTCAAACCTCAGCACTCTCAGGCATCTGTGCTAAAGCTTCTAATGGTCTTGATTTCCTGGTCTGCCTAAGTCCAAAAAACAATGACTGATGTTTCTGTTATTTGTGTGGTCTGCTTCTCTGAGTTTACACTGAATGATGTGTTGTTCCCCGCTATTTCTGTTCCCAGTCAGCATTACTGCTGAGTTTCAATTACTTTATCTCATCACAAACACTCTGCCACTACTGTCAGCGTTAGTCTATTCTTCCCATCGTGTATATATTTTTTTTTCCCATGGATGTGTGGAAGATTTCTCTTCTGGTGGACAGATCCCTTCTGCTTCTGTGCCTGCTGCTTCTGCTGTGTGGTCTGTTTGATGAATGTCTGGACTGCTGGCAAGAAGGCAGGCTGCACTCCTTGGCATGAAGCTGAGCGCACTCACTGTGGCAAAGTGACCATGCATTACCACACTTGCATTTTAGGTTTCCAGGTATCTTATTCCTTGACATCTTCTTAACTCCAAGCAGAGAGGAGTATTGATTGAAATGTTTAGGATTCTGGGGCAGATGGATACATTCATGAAAGGGAGGCCCTGAGAGCTGGCACAGACAGACCAAAAATGCAGTCATTTCTCCTCTACCTAGCTCCTCTCATAGTGGGTTCAGTTGGCATCAAACACCCCTCTTTCCTCCTTTTCTCCAAAAAGACCTGTTCTGGTTTTCAGAAAGACTTGCTTTCATTCCTCAAGAACATTTTTCAAATTTCCCCATTGTGTTACAGAGGCAGTATCCCTCCCTCCCTCCCTCCCTCCCTCCCTCCCTCCCTCCCTTCCTTCCTTCCTTCCTTCTTTCCTCTTTTTCCTTCCTTGATTCCTTTCCTTCCTCCTACCCTCCCTCCTTTTCTCCTTTCATTCCTTCATTCGTTCTTTCTTTGTATTATCTTTATCTGTAACTTTTAGTTCAAAAGCATGGACTTTGGAACCAGACAACCTGAACTGAATTCCAACAACCCCACCTAACAGCTGTATATCATATGGCAGGTTATTTACCCTCTCTGTGTCTCAGTTTACTGATCTGTAAAATTTGGGTAATAATAGGGTTAATTCTTAGGGTATTCTTATGATTCAGTGAGTTAATATATGTGTAATTATTGCATAGTGAGTTGTGTTGGCTATTATTCACTCATTTATACACTTACTTATTTTATAATCCACACCCATATCACATTGACTGAAGACATTTTAGGATTCACTGTGTTAGCTTTTAAATTTAGAAATGAGAAATATAAATGCAATGCATTAAAAAAATTCTGTGTACATTCACCCCATAAAAATGTAGAAAAAAATAAATAAAAAATATTTAAAGAAAAAGGCATTTTCCAGAACATGCTTTGGTGTTGACATTTCTAAGAGCAAGAAAGCACAATTATCCAACTCTGAATACTGTTGGCTTTGGTTGCATGCACCAGATTAAAATGTGTAGGTAACTAAATACAACCGTAGGTTTTCATTGCAATCTGCTATGTGTATTTTTTGGGTTTTAGTCCCAGCTGTTCAATGTATATTTAGTTAAGTAATGTAGCTATGTAAGAACAAGTGTTATGCCTATTTATAAAGGCACATTGTTTTAATTGACTGCACATGTATGTTTTATTTTACTCTGGGTAGAAAGTACCCAGACTCAAGCCCATTCTGCATGGCTACCTCCAGAATATGTGAGCACACTGGAAGGCAGAAAGTTGATTTTCTCCCATGCTTCCAAAGACAAAGGCCTTGGGATGATCTTGGACATTGTTTTTCTAGTGATATTTGTTTTTGTATACAATCATGTAGGTCTTCCTGGAGTTCTGATCACAGCTTTTTTGCATTCCACATAGTGGATACCCACATGTAGGAGCTTTAAATATGTTGTGAAAAAATTGTTTGATGATATTTCTCTATCTTGAACTTATTAACACATCAGAATCCCACCTGTAAAGTGCAGAGAGTATACCTATACTTCCTGCCTCACCAAGATTTTTTAAGCTCCTTCAACCATTGGTCAGATGTCTTTAAAAAAATTTAAGGATTTTTTTTTTTTTTAAATAGAGCATACTTCCAAGTGCTCTTTGTCACCATACGTAGATTTCTAGGTAAGGTCCATTTTGTTGATATGCTGGGAGAAATGCATATTTAGATTCAAAGCCAAATTATCAAGTGGAATATAAGCAGAGCAAATATCAAAGTGTATTTTTAGTACTTTGGCATTTTGACATGAGTTCTTGCCAATCAGTTTCCTTTTTGTGGTTATAAGCTGATTTTCCTTCCCTGTTAAGAACAAATGCCCTTTATTTTAATGTTTTCACTTGCTGACAGCTTTCTTTTATATGAATTTCAAGTGCACTATATTATGTGGAGTTCCTGTTTGGCAAACTGTACCCATGTAAAATCATATTGGTCCTGTCAACTGATAGACATAACTTACAAAAAGAAACTCTGATTTGGAAAGCTCCAAAGCTGAAAGTTGGCTATTAGTAAGATTTCATTTGCTTCCATATCTGCATTCTGTTTTTGATGAAATAATTAAGGATAAAATTTCAGTGGAACATTTTTTAAGGGTACTGAAATACACACTACATGCCTCATTTATATTTTGCTCCAAGAAGTAAAATTCCCATTGCCATTTGGGAACTAGGAAGAAGGAAGGCGAGAAGTCTAGATGGTACTGGACATGGATATCAAGTATAACAATCAAACCACCTAGAGAACTATAGGCATAGAAATGGGACAGAGGGTCTTTCATTGCCAGATTACTCAGTAAAATCTGGACTGGATCAGAAGTACTCTCAAGCCATTTGCATCGTACCCTTGGCAAGGGGCCTACTGAGAGTAAAGTAAGTATGAAATGGGCTGTTCAGCTCCCCAGGGTCACAGCCCATTCATATATCAATGCTGTACTCATTAACAATGTCTTTGGAAATAGAAACGTAAGCAAACCGTGTTCTGACCATTCCCTTCTGAATGGACTGAGTTGGCAGGGTGAGCCTTGTCTCTTGCTTCTGTTGACAATCACACGTGGAAAATCCCAATGTTCAGGATAGTCAATCTGTCATCTGTGGTGAACACCATAAAACAAGCAGTGATGTACTTAGCAAAGCTGCTGACCTTTTGTGAACTAGGATGGACGATGTCCTTACAATTGGAGGATGAGCTCTGGGGGAAAAGAGTCATAAAGATCTCATTAATATACTAGATTTGGGTAACAGTTACAATGAGTGTATGGAGACAAAAGAGAAGGGAACTAGCCTCTGTTGGAATCTCAGAGGGCTGGAGCTCTTAAGTAGTTGTAAGAGCAAGGCCGATTTTTCATGCATGGATGCATTGGGGTTCCTTGTGTATAATATCCATGCATATACATATGTGTACTATATGAAGTCAGGCGTTCCTGTATGATATGAATATAGTTGCAAAAGTGTGACTATACTGAGGTTAATTCCACAAGCTCTGAACAAAGGTCTCATTCTTTTATGATCTTTTTTTTTTTATAGGGCTGTGGGAACTACAATATTAGTTAAAAGCATTGCGGTCTGAATTGGGATGCTGGTTTTTGGAAGGCTGGTTGATAGAACGGAAAGAGCTCTGAACTGATTAGTAGGGGACTTTTCTCTCAGACTCAGGTGCACCACCCTAAAAGCTGTGTGACAGGAGGAGGTTTCCTAGTCTCTCTGGGTTTCCTTTGCTGGTAGGCGAATCAGAAAGCTGGATAGATGCTTCTGGTCTCCCTTTTTAAATTTCGTGCTTCTCAAATAATTGCTATGGTGGTGATGTTGGTGAGAATCTTTACCTGGATTTTTATGGAGTTACTCTAATTTCTGAGAGCCTTTGTCTTCTCCTACCCAAGAAATCCTCCTGCTTTGTGTTTCTTTGAGTATTTTTTAAGAAAGGAAAAAGTGAGGAAAGTGATGAAAAGAGCCAGGGCAGTGCGCTAGAGAAGGAGAGCATGCAGGCGCCGGCAGGGTGCCAAGCTGGCGTCCACGCGGCCCGTGCTCGCTCTGTGCCGCCTGGCAGCCAGGCAGGAGCACCTCTCGAGAGGGGCGACTGCCCTGCGTCTCAGGCAGGGAACAGCCCAGGGTTATAGCTTCACTTTATTTGTTAAACAAAAGGAGATAATTAAAGGAGCTATAAAAAATTCCCTCCAGAGCCTGTACTTTCTTTGCACACTGGCGTGGTTTATTAATTGATACAGATTTCCGGTTCAGTTCACCCTGCGCCCGCGGTTGAGCAATGATCTGCGTGGTCAGAGTTTGTGACTGCGGTGGTCTCGGGGGCGCAGGGCTGTCCGCCATGTGAGGCATGGCTCTTCTTCCCAAGAAAGCCAGTCACGAATCCAGATATTCAGGGCACGCAGGACAGAGCAAGGGAGGAAGCCACTGTCGCCGATCTCGCCTAATGCCCCTGGCTTGCTCTCCTCCTTCTTCTTCTGGTTCCTGTTTTCCTGGTACATTTTATTCCCCTCTTTTCTTCTCCCCCATTCCCTTAAGTAGAGGTGACACAGATCAATACCTTTGATGGAAAGTAATAATCAGGCCTATTAAGTGACAAAGGTTTACTCTGTAACAGCTGTGCTGGCGGGAGAGGAGAGCTTGTCTGACTAATGAATCATGAAACAATCAGGCAGTAGCCATTTGTGTTTAGATCTGTAAATATGGTGTGGTTCAAGTGCCAGACCATTGCCGGCGCTCCAGCTGGGGGCACAGATGGTCCGCATTCAGAGCAGCACGAGTGTGAAGAAAGGGTTTTTTCCCTTTCTCTGTCCCACACCGCACCTCTCTGAGCCTACACTCAGTTATCTGCAGCAGGAACTTCAGAGAAAGAAAAGGAGACCCTTTCAGGGGAGGAAGCCCTTCCAATGTGAGTTTCAGTGTAGGTCACCAAATACTCCAGGCTCCTCATTGCTCCACCTGGGAGGAAAAACATGATAATAGAAGATGTCACTGTTTTTTATTCCCATAAGAAGGTTTGATATGTATGTGACTCTGAATGTCTGTTTGACTTGGCACTGTCAACTATATTCCTTTATATTTTTCCTACACATTACTATACAAGACCCCCTGTTTTGTTCTTAGCTATAAATGGAACAAGTTGAGAGAAAAATATACATTCCAAGATGAGAAATTCACATTTATATACAAAGCTAAAAATGTTCTATATAAAATTATGCTAATAATGTCTGCTTGGATTCTGTTTCTCCTAGCTCTTGAAGTAAGGAACCTTGTCTTCAAGGGATGAGATTATCAAGAATTAGTTCTCCTAACCCACTATGAAACAGGGTTTTGTAGTTTTTTGTTGTTCACATTAGCCAAGAAAGTGTCACTCTTTACTAGAGCTGGATGCTGAGCTGACATTAAAAAAAAAAAAAAAAAAATCTTGTCATTGATGTTGTTTGAATCATTTATGTATCTATTAATGTACCGTAATTTCTTCTGGTGCTCTGATAGCTGTGTTTCTTAACAGTTGCTACTGGAGTCTTTATAGAGCTTGCATTGTGGCACCCTTTCAACCATGAGAAATACATTCTTCACCAATTTTTCTCTTTAAAAACATCTTTAAAACATGCAGTAAGAAACGGCTAGTAGGGGGAAAATTATAAATGTTTAGGAATATTTAGGAAAGACAGATATTTCAAAATATATTCTAGAATCTATTAATACGTTTTCCTTTTAAATTTGGCCTCTTTTATGGGAGGGCACCACTTTCTCTTGCCTCTCTTGTTTGGATAAATTAAAGTTTATTAAATAAACAAAGAAGACATTTTTCAGGATGAGCTATTTATACAACGATGGAAGTAAGTCCCATCAATGTTTCAACTAAAGTGCTAAATTGTAAGTTTGCTTTTGAAATTAAAGATATTTATGGGAGTACTGAGTTGTGATAAAACAGGCCCAAAGCAATCTCCACATAGCTCTGCAGAGCTTCCTGGGGCTGGCTGGCTTTTGGTTCCCTAAGGATTGGGTGATATGAAGATGCTTTTGATTTGTTGGTCTAAGGTTGCTGGTAATTTCAGTTTATTATTGAACCAGAAAACAAGTAGTGAAAAGGGCACAATGAGATTAGAGTACAAGTGTGTGAAAATGGCTTTCCTTTCCCCACCTTTTCCTCAGAGGTACACCCAAGGTTTGGTGGTCAGGGCAGCCCTTGTGGAGACAGGAACTCAGTTAGGCACGCTCACCACCATCTATAATGCTTAGAATCTCATTATGTGATCAATCTCATTGTCTTCAAAGGGAAATCTTGCTGTGCCATGGTGACATTTTTTCTTATACCAATTGCTTCTTTGCCTACCAGGTCTATAATAGACCTGGCCATGGCTTATCAGAAGTCTGTTTTGAAAAACACTGGTGATAGGACCATGACTTGCTCATTACAGATTCAGCTCAATACTCGGCCCCTCTGTTCTAGCTACCTTAAGTACAGCATCGTTCCAATACTTGACAAACTTGGGACACTGCCTATACAGAGATAAAGCTTTTGATACTTTCAGTTAACTAGTTGATCTGGCTCATAGTCAGCAGTATTTAAAAATTTGAGGTCACAAATCTCTGAACATCTGATGGGAGCCAGGGATCCTCTTCTCAGAAAAATACTTGCTCTCATACTTGCATACATAACATTTTATCACCTGGTTTTAAAGGTTTAGTAATCACCCAGTATCCACTCATGGTTCCCAGGTCAAGAACACTTGTTTCTGTTCTTCTGTGCTTAGTTAGCAACCTAATTAGTCAAGCCCCATCTTGGCACCAGACCCTTCAGCTCCATCTAAAAATCTTAAGTCACCGTCTTGTTCTCTATACTTCCTGACTCCTAATTTTATTCCTATCCCCTTAATTTCTTCTAATCAACTCTTTACTTTCCAATTCATTTTTGCATTATTATCATTAATACCATTCTTATTTTTGCTAATCTTATAGTCTAATTGTTTCTCCATTTTCTTTTTTAAAAAACTTTTCTGTTGTTTTTCTATGGTTTCATTAATAAAATAGTTTTTGTTAAGTTTGGCACGTGCTAGGTACTTAAAATACTAATAGTACTTATATTAGTTAATAATTATTGAAAACCTCATAGGCATTGTGCTAGATGATTTATAACCCCCATTGCTAATCATCACAGCAGTCCTGAAAAGCAGGTTATATTCCATTGTACTCATTAGGATCCTGTAGATTAAGAAATTGGTATCCTTAATTTTTTTTCCTTAGACTGATTTTGTATTTTTTCTTAAATAAATGTTTAAAAATTTGAAACTCCATATCACTCATGGAAATACAAAGCAAAAACAACTTGCCAAAAGAGAAAACAACTGTAAAATTAAATACATAAATATTTTTAAGAATCTGTCTACTGCCAACAATCACCTACTCTATACTCTGTGACATAACTTCGCTCTTATGCCATTCTCTTACCTTCAGTTTGTACCGTTTTTTTCCCCATCTTTCACTTCTCCTCCCTGCTCTGCCTCTTTTCTTCTCTTAATTATCCCTATTCTCCTACTCCTACATCCCATCTGCTTGTCTCTCTGAGGCCTTCGAGTCTATCTTCCTCAAATGTAACATCTGATCACCCTGAGTCACTAGACTGTCTTCAGTCAAGAAACCCAAGCATGTATGCCCTATCTGTGAAGTCTCTTCAGTGCAGATATTAGCATTGAAAAAGCTTAATTCACATCATTCTTGCTCTACCTCTGGGCAGTTGGAAGAGGGTGGTTATGTCCAATTCCCACATAATGTTCAGATCTAATAGAGACTCCTACTACTTGTTGTATTTGGCTCATTGGCCTGAGAGTTAGGGCATCAGGCTAATTCCAATTGCCTTCTCTCCCATATCTTTAAACTTTGGCAAGTTCTCTCCTCAGCCCTGCTTTCTACTAAATGTAGCCTTTTCCTTCAGGTCATCTCAGGCAGTGCCATGACTTTAAATAATTTTTAAGATGTACTGTTCTCAAACTTCTATTTCTGGCCTGGCCTCTCTCTCTCTCTCTCTTTCTCTCTCTCTCTATCTCTCTCTCTCCTTTTGCACTATTTCTCTTATGCAGCAGAATGATTTTTCTAGAGTGGAAATAAGATCACATTACTTACTGCTTAAAGACATCCAATGACTTCTTTTGTTACCAGAAAAAAATTCAAGCTCATTAGTAAAAATCCAAGCTCATAGAGCTGTGGGTCTTATGTATTTTAGTCTTGCTTATCTCTCTGACATTATCTCCCTCAATGTCTGTCTTGTCCATGAAGCTGCAGCTATACTGACTTTCTTTCTGTAAATGGAACATGCACAATTCATCTCCCTTTTTGGAACTTTGCACTTGCTGCACCTTTTTCTTGGAAAGTTATTTTTCCTGGTCTCCTTGTGTTTGGTTTCTTCCTGTCCCACTCATCTCAACACAAATGTCACTTCTTCGCTCTATAGGAGTTCACCCAATCCTCCTTATAACTATTTTGTCTTCATAGCATTTATCAATCTCAAAAGTTTTTCTTAATTAATGTAAGTACTTATTGTTGGCTTCTACTTAGAATGTAACCTCCTTGAGGACAGAGTCTGCTTGTCTTGCTCCCTGTAGTAGTCTGGAGCTTGGAACAGTACCTAGCAATAATAGGGCCTCAATACATTTTATTTGACAAGCTGATTCTTTCAAAAATTCTTTGTTTTTTTTTGTCATAGAGACATGTGAAGTGTTTGATGTAATATCTTATTTCAGGAATATACCAATGGCTTATAATTCCAAGATGATTTCAGTTGACAAGCTGGGAGAGAGGCACAGTGAGAAACAGCCTGTTCCACCCAGTAGGTAGCCAGACAGCTGAATAGGGAAAGCTGTCACAAAAGGATAAAAGGGTGGGTGATAAGCTGGGTTGGGTGTTGGTGATAGAGAAAGGTGTTGGGTAAATTGAATTCTCTTTTTGCCCTGTCTATTTTTGCATCTATTGAATACTTTTTCTAAAGATTATTCTGGAGGCTAGAATCTATTTAGTTGATTTCTGTAGTATTTTTAAATTGCACTTTGTTTATATATTATCCTTGACTACTTGGTCCAGTTTTTAGCTTTTGTTTACTAAAATCTTTCAATTAGTGATATTCATCTCTTTTTTTGTCTTTCTCCTATATTCACTTTTATTTGCTAATTATTTGAAGCTTTCAGTGAAAAAACACACTTAGCATAGTAAAAAGAACCAATTTTGAAATTCCAGCCTTGAGGTTTACTGTTGTTTTTACTTCAGGTCAAACTGAGCCTCAGTTTCTCTGTGAAATTTGGAAACCTTGTGAGATTATTACTTCCACCATAGTTGAGTGGTACTGAGTGGCCATGGGATATTTGGAATATGGCTGAGGGAAGTTAAGTTGGAGACACATTTTGTTTGGGTTTAGTGGGACATAGATATGTAGTTTGCAATCACTTCTAGGGGTAGTTAAATTATTGTAGGATGTCTTGGTATGAAAACATCTTCTGATGCTGAGCTGATTTATCCCTCATTATGACACAAAAGAACAAGGCCAGAGGTTGTGTTCTATGAAGCCTGTCATTAGAATAAATGGGTATGAAGGAAAAGCAGATTTAAAATGTATGGAGCCAGAAGCTAGACTGGATTATTCTAGATTCTGTGATACTTATGGTGTTTGTCAGCTTTTGAATTATATGATCTGCTTTTATTTTCTGATTTACATATTTATTCACTTTTATATCTAATTCTTGTTCATATATTAGTATTCCTTTTCTTCCCAAATTATATATGCTTTAGGCCCTATAAAAACCTCCATCAACTCCCATTTAATGGTAAACATTTTTAAGGCATCCAGGCTGTCTTTAGGTTTAAACTTGTTTTCATAAAACCCATTTCAGGTGTGGAAGAAATTGAATTTGAAGGAACCCCCAACATACTATAATTCCATGAATTTTGTGCTATTGGTAGAAGAGATTTTAGTTTTTCCCTAAAGTTTTATTATTTTGTAATTGACAAAAAGAAAGTGTTTTTGCAGCAGGCCATCTCTGTGTGGCTCCAGGGCAAGAGCAAGAGGTTGCAGGGGTTTCTGGTATTGGAGTCCACTGAGCAACTTTTATATGCATTTGTCATCTGTGTAACCCTAGTCTCTTACACCTGCTGGGGCTGAAGTAAAGCTTCAAGGCAGCATTCGAGATAAGGAGACAAGACCTGGAATTCACAGAGCTATTCATTGCAACCATCCTCACTACCTACTGAACTTCCAGTTGCCCTTTCCTACTTAATTGTTCTCTAATGCACTTACCACCATGCCTTGTTTTAGTAAATGATTTAGTGTTTAGTGTCTATTTCCCTCAACTAAATGTAATTCAGTGATGACGATGACATTTTACCTGTTTTATTCACTGCTAATTCTCAGTTCCTAGAAAAATACCTGGCATATAGTAGATGTTTAAAAAAATTGTCGAATGAATGAATGCCAACATTAGTAGATGGCGTATCATGTGATGCCATTCCATATCTTTTCAAGATAACACCATTTATTTTCTCCACTTGCATAGGTTAAGTCAAGGTCCAGATTAAAAGGTACATACTCCTCATTTTTTTTTCTTTAAACCATCTTTGCAAAAATTTTCTCATTTTTCATATTGAAGCAAGCTCTATAACATTTTTTATCTCCATCTCTTCACCTTATCTTATCACTTCTGCTATTCATTAATAAGGTGGGAGTGTATTTGGATTGGAACATTCAAGGTGAACATTAGTGTGCCTCTTCAGATCTTCCTTTTCTTTAAAGATTATTTTACTTTTTTATTATAAAAGAATATATTATCATAATTAAAAAGTCAAACACATCAGAATTATATAATAGCTCCACTCCTCTGACTCTACTTCTGCAAAAATGACCACTGCTTGGAAATTGTTTTATAGCCTTCTTATATCTCTTTTTTTTTCCTCTTTATAAACTGTCAACTATTTTGCTAAACATTCACATTGAACAGAGAGGCTTACTTTGAAGAAATGCAAAGAGTCAATAAAACACATGGTTCCTTGACCTTGAGAAATTTAAAACTTCAATATGGAGATAAGAAAAATATATGAATAAGAAAATACTTTTGAAGAGGAATACAAGCAATTAGTAATTAATTCCATGAAAATGGGAAGCACAAGGGCTGGAAGACAAAGAACAATTGAGCAAATGTGGCCAAATGATATGAATTGAGGAAGAGTACCTACTGGTATCACATTATAACAACATGGAAATAAGCAATCCTTTATCTTTCTATAATGCTTTTCTTTCCAAAAAGTTATTTCAAAAAGTTTAACTAAAGGATATTCTTTTTACATGTATAATGTAAAAAAACAGATTATTCCCCCTTAAAGCAATGACCGCCACTGCTTTAAACTGCATTTTGCATTTTGGTGATTCTGATGGCTATATTGATATGAGTCTGTGTGGAAAGGTAAACAAAAGTCTGTTCATATCAATGTAACCAAGAAAGGAAAAAAATATCCTTTTGGGTGGCAGGAATAAGGATTTACATGCATATAGATTATAATTTAAAATTGACTTCTGAATTTGTCAAGCCTTTTGACCTGTATTCAGAGCACTCTGAGAGGGCTCATGCCAGCAAGTCACAATACTGTATTTATCAGCAGCCACCTACAGAGCTTAAGTGTCCAGCTGCTACTTTTTTCTTCTTCTGATCCATTGGTACTTTTTATCTAAAATGCCTGTAGACCAAAGAGCATTGACTAAGAAAAGAGAGCAAAAGTGTTTTCCTGCAATCATTATTTTATTGGGACAAAAGAGCAAAGTTTTCTGAATCAACCTTAAGAAGTACAGATATTGAACATGTTAACAATACTAGTGTTTTTCCTAAAAACCACATTACACCTCACCTCACTGGCTCTATTGAATGGAATGTCATGTCAAATGAAAGGAAATAAAGAAGCCCAAACTGCTTATTCGAACAAGGTGCCATCAATAATGCCCACATGGGCGATTGTTCCCTGATTTAAGAGCTTGTCTACTTCATGCATCCACTTAAAGGCCTTTGGATAGAAGAAAACACACCCACCCAAACAGAATGTTAAATTAAGAAAGATTCATTCCCATTCTACTGCCCCATTCCTTATGCAGCCAATTTCCTTTGCCTATCTCTCTCTCATAGCATTCATTCTATTGACCATTTGTAGTATTGAATTAACGATGTGCAATTTGTGCTTCTAAACTTAGACCCTGTGCCTATGTATTTACATATAATAGGACCTTTGTTCTAATTTTTAAATAAAAATGTTTGCTTTTGGAAGGCGTCTTAGGAAGATCAATCAGGGAAGAACACAGCTGGCTTTTGAAAGTTGAGTTTCTATTTAAAGTTTCCTGCTATTGCCTTGACAATTTTATTATTATCAAAGCATTTGAATATTAGATATGACGATGAACACTCACTGCAGGGAAGAGAGGAGCAGGAACGTAAGTGGGAGGGGGCCACTAACAATTGTGCCCCCCGTTGTAGCCATAATAATTTAATATTCTCATACTGGGAGGCTCCATTTTTCTTGCCCTATATGGAGCTACTCACTGGATGTGTTGTTTCCTTTTGGCCAAACTATCAGGGTCTCCCTTGAACAGCCTGTAAAGACTTCAAATAAAGAATCATGCTGATAATTGCCTAAGGGCAGGATTTTTGTTTTGCCTAGGAGTCAGTAATTTAACTGTTACACTGAGGGAGGCTTCTGGGTTTTGAATAGAATTTCTTTCAAGGTTGTATTAAAGTTGTTGGTAGATCAATAGTTTTTCATCTTGGTGACTATTTGTCTCCTCTCAAAAACTAGGGATTACACAGTCACTAAGTGATACAGACTCTAGATGTATTGGAGTTGCCACATGCCGATGGCCCTATTCTGTTTGTTCTGTACTTTGTGGCTCGATATATATATATGTATGTATGTATGTATGTATAGTTTATGCAGTGGATTTAACTCTTTCATCTAGATTTTTGCTCAATATCAGATAGGATTTAAAGCTGTTATGTTAAACATGTTAAACAGAAGAGGCAGATTATTTTTTCATGTAATTCCTACTCTTGTATTTTTCCTGGTATCAATGTAGAGGATAACCTCCCTGAAGTCTTTAAGGCATTATTGTTTTAAAAAAGATTCACGAGCCCAGCTGACCTTGGCATAGTATGCTATAGAATATACTATAAATAGGATTTGTCTCAGTCTTTATCCCTGAGCACATGAACGATTTTGTTATATTTTTTACCATAACATTGTACAGCAACAAACATGGGGAAAATAGGTGTAACAATGAGCTCCAGGGTATTTCTGAGAGATAAAAAGAAAAATAAAGATTAATAGAGTTTCTTCTTTGCAAAATTGTTTTAGACTGAGAAATGGGGGTTTATCCAAGGTTATGAATGTTAGAGTGAAGTGTTAAATTAGGGGAACCTAATCACTATGTAGTTTTTGATTATCATTAGTTGTCTCTAAGACACGCTTAAAAAAGAAATATTAGTAGAGCTATGAAGCATTTGGTTCTTTGTTTTTATTGATTTCAATCCAAACAGTGGGAAACTCTCAAAGAAAATGCCTAGCTTGAAATACCACATTGCCATGGGAAAGTGGATATTGCAGTTATTTATTTTTTTCAACTGCTGAATTTATTTTAGGATTTCAAAATCTTTACCTGTTGATAAAGAGATGTTTTTCTTTTGACCATAACTTAGAGTTTAAGCAATGTGAGCTCATTAAGAAATGCCAGGTTATGGTTAGAAATGTCTCTTTGAGATTCCCATGACCACATGGGTCTTGTCTCTTGTTTTGGAGCCCAGTGACCTCAGGCGTGAAGGTCAGAGGTCATCATGGTGTTCTGTGTACTTCCATTGTCTGCATCTTTACTCAGGATGGTGAAAAGAGTTATCATTGCTGGGGCCAGCCTTCATCTCCAAGGTAGGTTGATAGAACATCTGAACATGAATGATTATTATTGGTATATTTATGCTGAGTTCCAATGGAGAACAAAGTCTCTTTAAGAAATAGGCCTGACCATTAATATGACCATTATCATGATAACAAAGAGGATAGTTTAGGTTAAGGAGCAGACCATCAAGGTTAGCACCCTTGTATGCATACGTGTGTGTATTAAGCGCTGGACAAAAAAACAACAAATGAAGGAGAGCATGAGAGCAATTCTTTTTCAATAAGAGCCATAAATGCTGAGGTGGACATTTGTTTAGATGTCTGCATTTCTTTATAAATACCCAAAGACATTTAATTACCAAATTTTAAAAATGAATATGAAATAGACACATAGACTCTTTCATGTGGTATTTGCATTTTTAACTTAACGGCACAATGTTCCAAACTTGGGACTAAGGTGAGCAAGAGAGAAGCAAAACAAAACATACAGAAGGACATTAATAATTGAATTAATTTGGGCTCAAGATGATTTAAAAGTTCTTGTATGAATGGTTGGTGCCAAATATGTGTAGCAGGGCTACCGTTCTCTCCTGAGGAGCTCACACTTTCTTTAAGGTCTCACTTGGCAATTGTCGTCCTACTTTACAGTGCTAACTTGGCACAGATAGTGCAGCTAAAGGAGGCAGAATGCATAGTAGTCAGGACTGTGGACTCTGGAACTGATTGCCCTGGGCTCAATCCCAGCTCCATGACTTACTAATTGGATGAACAAGAGTAAGTTATAGCTCCCTGTGCCTCAGTTTCCTTACTTGTAAAATAAGGCTGTTATGAAGATTAAATAAGTTAACATACATAGAGTGTTGCAGTCCTTGGAACACAGTAAGTTATTTTAGCTCTCTATATCTCAGTTTCTTTGCCTGTAAAATAGGGACAGTAATTGTATCTCCTGTATAGGATTATTGTTAGAATTTAATTAATTAATTTTATATTTGTAAAGTGCTTAGAACGGTGCTTGGCATTGTGTGTTAGCAATTATTATTCTACAGAATAAATATCAAATTTTTTGAACTTCAATTCTGTTTTTTTTTTTTAGAAACATGCATAGCTAACTTCATGAGGGTGGTTGTTTCCTTCACATACAATTCATTTACAAAATAAATAAAATGTGTTAGTCAAAAATTCTGGCACATGTTTCCATTTATATCAAAAGATTTTCTAATCCCATGTTGGAAATCATCAGGGTAGAAGAAATAAACTTCCATCAAAACAACAGTGAACTTCTTTAGAGACTTACTCTCAACCTATTTTTTTAATTCAGAAAAAAAATGTGTATTCCAGAAGTTGTACATACTTTTTTAAAAGTAAATTTTAAGTACTGTCCCCTTACCTTCAGTAAAGTCTTCCTGAGAACATTTTGTCCATTCTGACAAGTGACTAACACTAATATTCTGTTAAATTCTGAGTACATTCTGATGAACCTTGTGACAAACTGTAAATTGAAGATCATGAAGTTCTTAGAGTTTTGTTTTGGCATAGAAATGAACAACTTGAAGTCTTTATGCTTTGGGCATTTAATTTAATTATGTTCATTCATTTATTCAACAAATAATAGTAGGATGCCTGTGTGCCTGGCATTGGGCAAGGTGTTGTGTACCTTAGAAAGAACATGTGTTTTTTTCAACTGGTCTCCATGGCCCTGCCTCAGTATTTTCTATGCTGTGGATTGTGACCTATTAGTAGGTTGTAAAATAAAATTAATAGATTATGACCAGAATTTTTAAAAAGTAGAATTGAGAATAGCAGAGTACACTGGATATAGTATTGTTTTATGAAACTTTGAAATATCTCTATTTCAGTATCTATCTCTAAGACACTCATATATAGCTACAAGGTATATTTGGATCAGATCATTATAAAAAATTGAAAAAGCCTGTTCTCAGTATTAATCTGCATCTCTCTGCACTCTACTCTACCTGCCCTACCTTCTCTCTTGTTTACTCTGCTCCAAACCAGCCTCTTCGCTTTCCCTTCAACTTGCCAATCACATTTCCCTCTCAGGATCTTTGCACCTGTGATCAGGTCTGCTTTGAAAGCAATTCTTCTGTACCACATGGCTCTTGTCCTCTTTTTTTTTTTTTTTTTTTTTTGAGATGGAGTCTCGCTCTGTCGCCCAGGCTGGAGTGCAGTGGCGCGATCTCGGTTCACTGCAAGCTTCACCTCCCGAGTTCATACCATTCTCCTGCCTC
This sequence comes from Homo sapiens, assembly GCF_000001405.40. NCBI lineage: Eukaryota > Metazoa > Chordata > Mammalia > Primates > Hominidae > Homo > Homo sapiens. The sequence goes on from NC_000004.12 coordinate 79,062,145, forward strand.
AGCCTCCCGAGTAGCTGGCACTACAGATGCCCGCCACCACACCTGGCTAATTATTTTTTTTTGTATTTTTAGTAGAGACGAGGTTTCACTGTGTTAGCCAGGATGGTCTCAATCTCCTGACCTGGTGATCCGCCCGCCTCGGCCTCCCAAAGTCCTGGGATTACAGGCGTGAGCCACTGCGCCGGGCCCTCATCTTTTTTTTTTATTTAAATTTTTGGTCTGTGCTCAAATACCACTTTCTCAGAGATTCCTTGTCTTCACCACTCTATAAAATAGTACACCATGCTCCCCATTCCCACACCTCACATTGCTCTCCCATTTATTCAGCCTTAATTTATTTCTACAGAGTAGAGCTTATCACCACCTGACGTACATTGTCATTGCTGTTAGTTTCTTGTCGTTCTCATGCCATCCGAATGAACAAGCCATGAGTTCAGGGACTTCGTTATTATGTTCACCGGCATACCACTGGCAACTAGAACAGTGCCTGGCATGTAGTAGATGCAAAACATGTATTTTTTAAATAAATTTAAAAAAAATGGATAATGGCATTAAAGTGCCATATTGTTTCTTGCTTTATTGCATATTAATTATGTTGGAAAGACTACTAATTTAAGCTCCTTACACAGCCCCCAAAGTTTGTATTGTCCCTAGCTTTCCAGTTTAATAAGTTGTCTTTTTATTTCCTTTCTTGTCTCCCATGCTTATGATTGCTAGGCTTGGGCAACTTAGAGATTCCAGTGGTTCTCTGCATACATATAACTGTCATGCATCTGTGCCTTAGCTCATACCATTCCCTCTGCCTGAGATACCCTTTCCTCTGCTTTTGCTTCTTTACCTGGATAACTGTGCCAGCTCTTCAAGATTTAGTTTGTACCTCATGTTTCCCTCAAAGTCTCCATGACCTTCCTGGCTGGGGAAGGTGATTCTTCTCTGTGCTTTAATTTTACCCCGTGAATTTTCAGTATCTGTTTTTTGCCTCCTTGCTTTTAAGCTACTTGAGAGAAGAAATGAGTTCTTCATATCTATATTTCTGGAATCTCCCACAGTACCTGGAATGCAATAGGAACTCAGTAAATGTTTGTTGATCTGAAAGAAAACATGTTTGAAATTTCAGATGGTTTATTTCTTAACTGATCTGAACTGTTTCCTTGAAATTGACAACTAACTTTTTGGCAAGTTTTATAAGATCTTCAATCCATTAACAAAGGCAGACATTTTCATGGCTGTTTTGTTTTTCATTTCTCAAAAGAAACCATTCTTAAAAATTGATTTGAGCAAGAGGAGAGGTTAAGTGGTCTGGATGAGGGAAAGATGGAAAGGAATGCAGATGCAAACGACCCCTCCCCTAATCATGTTTTCCCATTGCACATCTCAATTATCTGGGGATCTGTATTCAATGAGTGAGTTTTTGCTTTTGCTTTTTCTTCTTCTGCCTGCATCCTGAGAACTGATCCCTGGAGATGAGAAAGGAATTTGAGTAAAATGTGAAGTTGTCTTTTAGATCTTGAGAATACTCTGGTAAAAGATTCAACCAAAATGAAGATTTTGGATTATGTGTTGTTTTCATTTATATTTGTTGCTTTGGATACTTTTTACTAGGGATAATTCAGAGTTGGCTGAACACATCAACTATCCAACTAAATATACCCTCTGAGGAAAATTTATTCTTTGCACTCCTTTGCCTTTTTATTGTGATGAAAAGAAAAAAAAAACAACCAGAGATTCAACGGGCTGTAACTTTAATAGGTCATTCCAGCCAGTGCTTACCTTCACAAAATTCTGATAATACACGGAAGACAATACAGTGATCAAAAGCAGTGATGAGATTTTTTAGCAGCATTAACCGTCATGACCTAGCAAAATGAAAGAAAATGGTTTAACAGAACTGTCAGCTTCAATATAGCTAATAAAGGCATGGATAAATGTTTATTACATACCGGAGACAGATCATTTCTGTACAGAAATTGAGGATGACCTTTACTGATAACTCTTATCTGCCTAATATCCTGAGAGGGAGGAAAAGAGAGGGGTAAGAGAGAAGCATATTTACTGATATTTGTGAAAGGAGAAATTATCATTTGCAAATAAAACATTTTAACAGTGATTATCTCAAGTCACCCTCTTGCCCTCACTTCCACCCCAACAGACATACCTCATGAAGGTATAGTAGCGATTCCTCTCTAGGGGACCAAATGTGCCTGAAAGTGGTTTTGGTAAATTCAGGGAAATTCTAACTAAACTCACTGTCTTAAAAAGTAAAGAATAGGAGCACATAGATATGAATAATTGTATTGTTAACTTTGACTTTTATTCTGTGATATTACAAAGATATTGCAATTATATAACACTCTTTCAATAAAATGGTCTCAATTATAACTATGGGTTTCAAAGGAATTAATAATAATAAACTCATGTCCCTTCTGCCATGATAGACAAATTAGCTGATATCCATAACATGTTTAGAACTTTCAAAATATGTTGTTATTTAAATACCACTAATTTTTGGTAGGATTAGTTTTGTTCTTGCTGTGAAATTGTTAGTGGTGGTGATGGCAGAAGGGTTTTATTTTGCTTTATATTTTTTCTTTTTCATTCAAAGAGGAGATTTTTTGATAACTTATTCAAACTGTTTATAATTTAAGTTGAATTGTTATCAAAACTGTAAGTGAACATTTGATGCAATAATTTGGGTAATTTAGGGAAGAAAAAGTAAAAGATTTGCCTGAAATATTTAAACCCTAAGCTTGTTTTTTGTTTAGAGACACATGTCAAATCTTATTATTATATTGTTCCTGGAATAGTTCTGTGCATCTGGTGGCTGCCCAGTACATTTTAATTAATGACAGTATTTATGACAGAAACGGAAATCTTAGACATTTGGGGATTTTCCTACATATTCTCGTTTTCGGATATGTTTATATATAGGACTAGTTTCACTCTAAACTTAAATTTTTCTCCAGAAGGCATAAAACCTAACATGCAGAGTAAAGAACAGACATGTGCTGAATGAAACTCATTTGACATTGAAATGGACCATTCTTGTTTTTAAATTATATTTGATTTAATAATAGAGGTGGCACTAAATAACCCCATATCATCTTAGCTCTATGGCTAAAGAAAATGTATTTTCTTTTTACTTTTTCTTTGTATGTTTTAAACAAGCTGCCAACAACTATTTTATACACCTAGTATATAGAGGCTCTGCTAAAGGGTTAGTTGAATTGAGGAGCCATCATAGGCATTTTATGCTTAGAAAAAGAAAGTGTCTCTTCTCTCACTCTTTCAGCTGCAGCTGTCATGAGTTCCCTTGGCCCATGTGGGCTGCTCTGAGTCACTGACTCTGCCACTATTAAGATAAGATGAGTTTTCCAGAATGTCGAGGGGGCTTGTTTGGCATTTAATATTGAATATAGATTCCATTGAGGCTGAAAAAGAAAAAAACAAACAAAATCTTGCAGATGAGGGAAAACAACAGTTTGTGCCTTGTCATAACCATGTAATTTTATGCCTCTGACCCAGTTTCCACACCAACTTTTCCTCTAAGTACTATTTTTCTCTTGACATACAGGAATTGTTGGGGACACACACATACACACACATACACACACAGAGAGAAAGAGGGAGAGCAAGTACAAGCATCAAACACTAAAATCTATCTATAGCCTCTCTTTGATCCTGATAGTTGAGTTAGTGTAGAAATTATAAGTTTGCAAATACCTGGTAGAAGAAAGGAACTAGAAAGAAGTCTTTTAACTATTTTCGTCTATAACCTTAAACTATCATTTGTTAGCTCTATAAAGAACAATAAAGATAAAGCTGTAATTTGATGAAGTATTTTGATGAATAATAATTAAATATTTACTGTGAAAGTTTCTCAATAGAATACCTTGTTTTTTAGATTCATAATTTTCTGTGTTATTCCAATTTGGTGTCCAAATCATGTGATAAAAATTAGGTTGACTGCTTTTTGTGCTTATGTAAAATTAAAAGCCTTGAAAATCTATTTAGATTTTATTTAATTTGTAAAAGATTTTTTCCAGTGCATGTTTATGAATGCTTTGTCAGGATGGATTAGTTAACCAAACCAGTATATATGCCTGACAAAGGATCACAGATTATGGGGCCATGTTTGTGATAAATGTTAATCAAAAACTGTATTTGCTGTATGTCCTGGATATACTTTTTTTCCTTTACCAGAACCTTATATAGCCCTTATTATAGGCTGTTTTAAGCACATCCTGCCTGTACTAACTCATTTAATCCTAACTACATGCTTATTTTATCCATGAGAAAACAGGCACAGAGGACTTATGTAACTTGTTGAAGTTTGTATAGCTAGTAGAGGTGGAGCCAGAGCTTTACCCAGGGGGTCTGAGAAGCTTGTTCTTCATCACTGTGCATCACTGCCTCTCAAGTACCAAGGGATTAGAATTGGGGTAATTATATGGTACAGTCCATGTGGCTTTCAGAGGTGTGATCTGAGTACCAACTTTGTAAATAGAATTAAGTGATTGAAAAATATTAATAGCTCTTATTCTTTTAATGCTTGAAGGAGAAAAGGAAGGTAAGCATAAATAATACATATTTACACTTATCTGTGCTTCTAGGGTAGGAGTGTAGGTTAAAAAAAAAAGTCCCTTTGCCACCTACTTTTCTTCTAGTGTTTCTTGTATGGAAATACTTCACGTTTCCTCTCCACATTTCCTGTATGGTTCCAGGACCCCCAAGGATACCAAGTTCAAGGATGCTCAAGTCGCTTATATAAAATGGCATAGTATTTGCATATAACCTACACACGTTCTCTCACATGTTTTAAACCATCTCTAGATTACTTATAATACCTAATACCATGTAAATTCTATGTAAATAGTTGTTATACTATGTTTCAAAATTTATATTTTTTATTGTTATATTGTTACTTTTAATTGTTTTCCCCCGATTATTTTTGATCTGTGGTTGGTTGAATCTGTGGATGCGAAACTCATGGGTACAAAGGTCTGGCTGTACTTGCCTTTCTTCCAGTCTATTTCTTCTACTCAAGGAACTAGGAAAGCAAGAACAAACCAAATCCAAGATTAGTTGAGGAAATAAATAATAAATATCAGAGCAGAAATAAATGAAATGGAGACTGAAAAAATACAGAAGATCAACGAAATGAAAAGTTGGCTTTTTGAAAAGATAAAATCATCAACAAACTTTCAGCTAGACTAAGAAAAAAGGGGAGAAGACCCAAATAAATAAAATCAGAAACGAAAAAGGAGATATAAGAACTGAGACCACAGAAATACAAAGAATCATTAGAGATTATTATGATCAATTTGTACACCAACAAGCTGGGAAACTCAGAAGAAATGGATAGATTCCTGGATGCACACAACCTACCAGATTGAACCATGAAGAAATACAAAACCTCAACAAAAAAATGAGAAATGATATTAAAGCCATAATAAAAAGTGTCCTATCAAAGAAGTCTAGGACCTGATGACTTCACTGCTGAATTCTACTAAACATTTAAAGAAGAACTAATATTAACTACACTAAAACTCTTCAACAAAAATTGAAGAGGAGGGGATACTTCCAAACTCATTGGACAAGGCCAGCATTATCCTGAAACTAAACCAGACAAGGACACGACAAAAAAGAAAATTACAGGTCAAAGTCGCTGATGAACATAGATGCAAAAATCCTCAATAAGAAACCAGCCAACTGAATCCAACAACATGTAAAAGAGATCATTCACCATGATCAAATAAGATTCATCCCAGAGATGCAAGGCTGGTTTAACATACATAAATCAATAACATGATACATCACACTCAGAGAACCAAAAAGAAAAACCATATGATCATTTCAATAGATACTGAAAAAAGCATTCAATAAAGTTCAACATTCTTTTATAATAAAAACACTCAAAACACTGGGTATAGAAAGAACATACCTCAAAATAATAAAAACTACATATGACAAACTCACAGCAAACATTGTACTGATTGGGGAAAAATTGAAATCCTTTCCTCTAATATCTGGGACAAGACAATGATGCCCATTTTTACCACTTTTATTCAATATAATAATGGAAGTCTTGGCCAGAATGATTTGGCAAAAGAAAGAAAGAAATGGCATCCAAATTGGAAAGGCAGAAGTCAAATCAGTTTTGTTCACAGATGACATGGTCTTGTACTTAGAAAAACCGAAAGACTCTACCAAAAACTATTAGGACTGATAAATTCAGTAAAGTTGCAGGATGCAAAGCCAATGTGGAAAAATAAGTAGCATTTATATATGCCAACAGTGAAAGGAAAAAAGAAATCAAGAAAGCAATCCCATTTACAATAGCTACAAAGAATATAAAATATCTAAGAATTAATTTAATCAAACTAAATGAAAGATCTATACAAGTAAATCTGTATAAAACACTGATGAAAGAAATTTAAGGGGACACACAAGAAAGAAGAAAGCTATTCCATGTTCATGGATTAGAAAAATTAATATTCTTAAAATAGCAACTCTCCACAAGGAAATTTATAGATTCAATGCAATTCCTGTCAAAATACCAATGACATTCTTCACAGAAATAGAAAAAAAGTCCTAAAATTCTTATGAAACCACAAAATGACCCAGAATAGTCAAAACATCCTGCACATAAAGCTCAAAAGTGGAGGAATCACATTATCTGACTTCAAATTATACTACAGAACCAGCATGGCACTGGTATAAAAACAGACTCATAGACCAATGGAACAGAATAGAGAACATAGATTTGAATCCATGCATTTACAGCCAACTCTTTTGATTAAAACACTAAGAGCAATACAATGGAGAAAGATCAATCTCTTTAATAATGGTGCTGAGAAAACTGGATGACCATATGCAGAATGAAACTAGACCCCTGTGTCTCACCATATACAAAAATCAAATTAAAATGTTGATTAAAGACTTAAAACTATGAAACTACTGGAAGAAGACATTGGAGAAGCACTCCATGACATTGGACTGGGTAAAAGTTTTTTGTTGTAAAATCTCAAAAGCACTGACAACCAAAGTAAAAATAGACAAATGAAATTACATCAAGCAAAAAGCTTCTTTACAGCAAAGGGAACAATCAACAAAGTTAAGAGACAAGCTACAGAATGGGGGACAATATTTGTAAACTATCCATCTGACAAGGGATTAATAACCAGAATATATATGGAGCTCAAACAACTCAATAGCTAAAAACCCAAAAATTCCAATTAAAAATGGGCAAAAGATCTAAATAAAGCATTTCTCAAAATGAGACATACAAATGTCCAATAAATAAATGAAAAATGCTCAACATCACTAAACATCACAGAAATGCACATAAGGACTACAATTAAATATTATCTCCTCCTAGTTAAAATGGTTTTTATAAAAAAGACAGGCAATCATGGGTGCTGGTGAAGATGTGGAAGAAAGGGAAACTCTTGTACACGGTTGGTGAAAATGTAAATGGTAAAGCCACTGTGGAATACAGTATGGAGGTTCCTCAAAAAACTAAAAATATAACCACCATATGATCCAACAATTCCACTTCTGGGTAAATATTCCAACATAATATCAAAGAGATATCTACACTCTCATGTTTACTTCAGCATTATTCATAATAGACAAAATATGGAATCAACCTAAGTTCCCATCAGTGTCCCTAACGGGAAATAATATGTAGTACATATACACAATAGAATATTATTCAGCCATAAAAACTAATGAAACGCTGTCAGTTACAGCAATGCTGAAGGTCATTATATTAAGTGAAAAAAGCAAAGCTCAGAAAGACAAATATTACATCTTCTCACTCATATGTGGGAGCTAAAAAAGTAGATCTCAGGAAGATAGAGTATATTGGTGGTTACTAGAGGCCAGGAAGGGTAGAGGAGGTGGTGAAGAGGGGTTATTTAGTGGGTACAAATATACAGTTTTTATAGAAGAAATAGGACCCAGTGTTTCATAGATCAGTAGTATGACTATAGTTTAATATAATCTACTGTATATTTAAAAATACCTAGAAGAGAATTCAAATGTTTCTAGCATAAATAAAAGACAAATATTTTAAGGTGATGCATATCCCAATTATACTAATTTGATCTTTAAAAATTACAGGAGTGCATTAAATTATTACTTGTACCCCCCAAAAGTATTTCAGCTATTTTTAAAAGTTTATTGCTACTTATAATGTTTAGAAAAATGTTTTTAAGTTCCAAAAACCAAACTAAACCAAACCAAAACTCAACGTGGAAAATAAAAACAAGATACTATTTGGAGAGTATCTTTAACCTAGATTATATTTATAATTTAATATGAAAAAAATTAAACATTGTAAAAATTCAGTCTTGCTATTATATATAACAAATTATTTTTATCTTTTCCTCAGTAAAATTTAAAACTTTTATGGGTAGGAATTTCTCACATATCATGTTAGGGTTATTTATAGGTATTTAATATTTTCGGTTTATTGAGTGTTGAATTTTTTTTAGTTTTACAAATAAAAATTATATATATTTATCAAGTACAACAAGATGTTTTGAAATATGTATATATCAGCAATGGCTAAATTGAGCTAGGTAACATATGCATTAGTTCACATATTTATGATTTTTCTGTGGTGAGAACACTTGAAATCTATTCTCCTAACAATTTCCAGAATACAAGATGAAAATTGAATATTTTTCGGTGGTTAGTGTTGGTATGTTGGAACGTCCTTGAATGTATGTATACTTTATAAGTGGCCATCGTATTGAATTCTTGTATTACTTTTATACATTTTTTCGGTGAATCTCTTGGTATTTTCTTAAAATGCATCTTCCAAAAAAGATCTTTTTTGCCTTTCCAGCAGTCATACCTCTTATTTGTTTATTTTTGTTTCATTGTATTGATTCAAATTTCCATGACAGTGTTCATAACAGTTCTGATATACTCATTCAACTTGAATGGAAATCTTTCTATTGTTTTGCCATTATGTGAAGTGTCATCTTTAATTTGAGATTTACTTCTTCAACATATTAAGAAATAAGTTGTTTATTCATAGTTTCAAATGTGTAAGTCAGAACTGTATCTCTTTATCTAATGCCTTTCTGGCCATTGATTAAAATGTATATATAGTTTTCCTGTTTTTGCTTATTTCTGTGATAAAACAATGTTAGGATACTGAATAATAATTGAATTCTTTTAAGACATCTTGCTTGGTCAGAGTAGGATTTTGTTTTGTAGTTTTATGTGGATTTAATATTGTTACCAAATTTTAACTTTATTTTTTTACTAACTTGACTAAATAAATTATGTTTTTCTGTGCTATGGAACAGACACGATCAGTTCCTGAACAGATTGGAAGGAACTTCCCCATAAAACTGTCTTTGGGAATTAAATCTTTGGAAATCTAAAAATGTACCTTTTTCTTATTTTCTAGAACTTTGTGTCCTCGATTTTGATCATTTACATATTTTCTTGTAAAGTGTTCAATATCATAAGGGTTTTAAAATTAATTTTCATAAAATTATTGATACATTTTTTTCTATAGAAATTATTTCAAGTTTTCTATTTTTTAAATTAATTTTGGTAGTGATTTTTTTTAGAAAACTGGTGATTTGTGAAGATTATTTTAAAATAAGCTTTATTGACATATAACTTAGGTGGAATAAATTCATTCTTTAAAGTTTGATGCGTTTTGGCAAACATATACATGATCATATCCATAGTTAAGATATTGAACAGTTCCATCATGCCAGTAAGTTTCTTTTTACCCCCTTTTAACCAATACCCACATCCCTCACCCCATCAGTGTTTGTTCTACTTTTATAACTATAAACTAGTTTTGCCTATTCTAGAATTTCATAGAAATGAAATCATTCAGTATGTAGTCTTTTTAGTCTGGTTTCCTTCATGTAGCGTAATGCTTTTTAAGTCTTCCACATTATTCTGTATATTAGAAGCTAGTTCCATTTTATTGCTGAGTAGCATTACATTATATGATATACCACAATTTCCTTGGCCATATCCCTGTTTATGGGCATTTGAAATGTTTCCAGTTTTCAGTTATTATAAAATTGCTTAAAATATTTGAGCACAAATCTTTGTGTAAACATCTCTTCACATACCAAGTGGAATTCCTAGTCCATATGGTAAGTGTATATTTACCTTTTTAAAGAAATTATCAAACTGGTTTCTAAAGTGATTTTTAACATTCAGATTTCTACGGCAATATACATGCGAATTCCAGTGGTTACATATCACCACTAACACTTGGTATTGTCATATGTATTTAGCTATTCTAGTGATTGTATAGTGGTATTTCATTCTGGTTCTAATTTGTATTTCTCTGATGATTAAAGATGCTAAGCATCTACTTTAAAATCAGCTTTATTAAGGCATAATTTGTATAACAAGTTATACATATTGCAGGCATACAATTTGATAAGTTTTAACGTATGTATACATTCATTAAACCATCACATAATCAAGATAACGAACATGTGTATACCCTAAAAGTTGCCTTGTGCAACTTCAAAATAATTTTTCCCTCCTGACATCTATCCCCAGGCAACCACTAATCTTTCTTTTACTATAAACAGTTTGAATGTTCTAGAATTATATATAAGTTGAGTCAAATATTATGTACTTTTGTTTTTCACTCAGCATAATTATTTTAATTTTTATCCACATTGTGTGTATAATAGTTCATATCTTTTTATTTTGGGGTAGTTGTACACTGTATGTCCATACCGCAATTTATTT